>NC_000022.11:34618654-34770170 GCF_000001405.40 Homo sapiens
CTGGGGTAATTACAGCATTTATCTTTTTTTAAAATTTTTTAAATTATTTTATTTTATTTTTTTGCCAGAAAGGCCAAAACATTCCTAGAAATTTCAGGAGAATTCAGCTACTGTCTCATTGGCTAGAACCAATTGTCTTCCAAAGCTGGTTTGTACCGCTTCAGAGAGTTGATTGTTACACTTTTAGGGATTTTATGTGCCAGTTGTTAAACCATTGGTTCCTTGAAATCAACCATAGTAGAAGTATTTGCATAATGCAAATTGGAAAATCCTACATAGCATATCAAAATTCCTGTTGTTTTTGAGAACTATGTCATATCTCAATCCTGGCTGCATGGGAGGCTAGGAATATGAATTATTCACTGAGCACATTGCCTGCCTTAGCACATAAAGGGCTCTGTTTGCAAGGAAAAAGTCAATGGGTATTTGAAAGGGAATGATTAAGTTTTGCTATCAAAGACTCTGTAAAAGATTTTTAAGTTATATTTTGTTAGGGCCTGCCTAGTCGGGATCTCTTCAATGCATGCAGTTTCATTTTCCCGGTTACCTAAGTCATAAAACTGAAGGAAAAAAAAAATCACACTTCAGTGCATTGAAGCCCTGGGCTGGGCAGGCGGTTAGACATGCAGGATGGCAATGCACCATCTTTCTGCTGCCTTACTGAAACATGGCTCGATGATACAGTCAAAGCAAGGGAAAGATCTAAGGTTTTTTAAACAGTAGTTTTATTCAAGATTTTTTTTCACCAGGCTTCCGATCCTAGAACTAACTCAAAGGGAAACTGTCAAACAACCACCCTTATTTTCCCAGTGTACCCATAAAATTTTCAAAAAACTGATAGCAGGATGGCCAACTAAATTTCTGATCTGATAAAGCCAATCTAAACACCTTTTCCTACCTGAGGAGCCTGCAAGTGCAAACTCTTATCTGGTGATGGGCCTCTTTGCAAAAGTGAATTCATCTCACTTATGCCAATGAAAGCATAAAGAGTCTGGGAGATTGAATGCCAATGAGTGTTTTGACTTAATGCTTATAGATAAAATCACCTGCAAGCATAATAGACTAATTAAGAGGTGGATAGATAGCCCTGAGAAGACAAGCCAGGACAAAAGGATGACTGACCTGCTTAATCCATCTCCACTTGAATCATACCAAGTCCCACTAGCATTCCAAATTCTTCGAGATTGTCATGTGCGCCTGTGTGTACATCCATGGGGAGATTTCCTGAGTTTGTTTTTTTTATTCTGCTTTTTGTTTTGTTTTGTTCTTTGAGATGGAGGATTGCTCTGTCACCCAGGCTGGAGTGCAGTGGCATGCTCCTGGCTCACTGCAAGCTCCACCACCCGGGTTCATGCCATTCTCCTGCCTCAGCCTCCGGAGTAGCTGGGAATACAGGCACCTGCCACTATGCCCGGCTAATTTTTTGTGTTTTTAGTAGAGAAGGGTTTTCACAGTGTTAGCCAGGATGGTCTCGATCTCCTGACCTCATGATCCTCCCACCTCAGCCTCCCAAAGTGCTCGGATTACAGGGGTGAGCCACCGTGCCCGGCCTGTTCTCTTTTTTCCGATCAGAACTCCTCTGGAAGAGCGATTTGTTCACATTCTGTTTGCTCTCAGAACTGAGCCATTGGCGAGTTTGCTCTTAGTGGGAGCTCGGTAAATGTTCACTGCCTGACATTTCTCTTGCCAAATCTCAAGATGAAACCGTGGGAAAGGGAGTCATTCTTATCTGCCAGCATACTTTGATTTTACATGGTAAGTGAAGGAGCTGGGATCTGAACTGAGATTTTTGGAAGCCAACTTCAATAGTCTTTCTCCTACATAATGATGTCTCGCAATTGACAATCCCATTTGCAATCACTTGTAACAAGATCTGATTTGGTGTACTCATGGAGACTGACTCTATACCTGGTTCCATACAAAAAACAATAGAGATCAACTGTCAAAAGTATCTTTATCACTGAAAAAAATAGTTTTTTATCTGCATCTCTCTTAGAAGGATAAAGAAAATCTGATTTATAATGCGAAGCAATACTTCTTAAAAATTCCTTCTCTTCTCTGATTTCTTTCACACCCTGCAGTAGCTCTAGAGTAATGCTATCTGAAAGGACTTTCTGTGATGATGGAAATGTTTTATATCTGCATTGCCCCATATAGTAGCTACTGCCCACATGGGACTGCTGAGCACTAGAAATGGGCTCATATAACTGGGGATATGAAGTTTTCATTTTATTTAATTTTACCTACTTTAGGTTTCAATCTTATAGTTGGATGTATCTAGTGATTGCTGTGTTTGGTGCACAGCTGTACAGCCTCTTACCCCTAATCTTCCACATTCTCACTCTCACATCAGCTGTCATATTTTTGCGGTTTTCCCTTCCTCCAGCAAGCTCTTTTTTTGGTGGCGGTCGGGTGGGAGGTGTTGGGGGAAGCAGAGTCTGCCTCTGTCACCGAGGCTGGAGTGCAGTGGCACGATCTTAGCCCACTGCAACCTCCGCCTCCTGGGTTCAAACGATTCTTTTGCCTCAGCCTCCTGAGTAGCTGGGATTACAGGCATGCGCCACCATGCCTGGCTAGTTTTTATATTTTTAATAGAGAAGGGGTTTCACCATGTTGGCCAGGCTGATCTGTAACTCCTTACCTCAAGTGATCCACCTGCCTGGGCCTCTCGAAGTGCTGGGATTACAGGTGTGAGCCACCATGCCCGGCTCTCCATCAAGCTCTTTATCATGTAGTCGGCTTTACTTCCGCAGAGCTTTCTTCTTGCCCCAGCCATTTGCTCACAACAAAGAAGGGCCTGGGAGCTGAAATCCACAGCTGGCCTCTCCTTTCCCCCGCCTCCCAGTCCTCGCTTTTTCATTACTCAGATTCTCCATTCTGCACACAATATGTTAGGGAGCCTCTGAGGCAAACATAGAACTCTCCTAAGGGTGGGGAAAGGAGAAAAAGTTGAGTGAGAAAAGAAAAAAATTATCCTCAAAAAATGATTGAAATTGATTGAAAAAAGACAAAATTCTCCTAAGTGAGGGGTAAGGGTTAGAAGGAAGAAAGAAATGCTGGGAAGTCTTAGAAATGAATAAACCATGACTATACTGTTATTATTACACTATAATAATGATAATGCAAATAAATTGTGCAGCATCTAGTGGTTCAAGTGTGCCCTATACCTTTTACCTTCACTATGGAGGGGGTTGTTTAAAAACACCAAGAGGGGGTCAGGTGTGGTGGCTCACACTTGGAATTCCAGCACTTTGGGAGTCCAAGGCGGGTGGATCACGAGGTCAGGAGATCAAGACCATCCTGGCCATCATGGTAAAACCCTATCTCTACTAAAAATAGAAAAGTTAGCTGGGAGTGGCGGCATGCACCTGTAGTCCCAGCTACTCAGGAGGCTGAGGCAGGAGAATTGCTTGAACCCAGGAGGCGGAGGTTACAGTGAGCCGAGATCGTGCCACTGCACTCCAGCCTGGCAACAGAATAAGACTCCAGGAGGCGGAGGTTGCAGTGAGCCCAGATTGTGCCACTGCACTCCAGCCTGGCGTCAGAATGAGACTCGGTCTCAAAAAAAAAAAAAAAAAAAAAAATTGGGAAAATGCACTGGATTAGTCCACAGGCAAGCAGCCACTTTTCATCAGAAGTCATCATCCACAGTGTCAGGGTCAGTGGAAGCACAGAGAAGATCAGTGAGAGCTCGTGGTAGGGAGGGGACTCCAGTGACATTGTGATCAGGTAATATGGCATGGTCCGTTTCAAAGACTTTGGGTCTTACACCTAACCTAATTAGCTTAAATGGGCACAGCATTCAAGCCTGGCACCAGAGTCTGCCTCTGTCACCCAGGCTGGAGTGCAGTGGCACGATCTTGGCTCACTGCAACCTCCGCCTCCTGGGTTCAAGCGATTCTTTTGCCTCAGCCTCCTGAGTAGCTGGGATTACAGACACTAAAACTCTGGTTTGAGCATGGCATGGAGAATGGATGTTAGACTAGAGTCCACGAAGAGAGACGTCAGTCATCAACTGGAGGTGGCAAGTACCACAGCAGCAACCCATTGCATAGCAGTGGAGGCACTGAATAGAAAACTGAACAACCTTTGCTATTGTGAATAGTGCCGCAATAAACATACGTGTGCATGTGTCTTTATAGCAGCATGATTTATAATCCTTTGGGTGTATACCCAGTAATTCATCTACCCTAGAACTTAAAGTACAATTAAAAAAAAAAAATCTAACAATCTGCTGCAGGTGCAAAGAGGAAAAGGAGGTGTGTCTCAAAAGATAATGCAGTCTTTAATATTGATATCAGTGGAACAGGATGTCTTTTTCTTCTTTTTTGCTTTGTAGTTTAATCACTGTCTTCTAAGGCCCTTTGTCTCTCAATATCTTGAGGCAGGGAAATCTACTCTGTTCTAAGTAGCAGAAGGAGAAGAATTTGAAGGTCCAGGGTTGTTTCTGGAGGGAGAAGTTGAAAGGCAAAGAAAGAAGGGGGAAAAGAGAATTTTGTGAAACAGTGGAAACTAAGCAGTGCATGAGGATGGGAGGAGTCCCCTGTGGTGTGGGGCCAGTGCCAAATAGTATGAGATTTTGAGTTGATGACACTGTGCAACACGCTCATTATTCTAGAGTCTCCAGTGAAATCTATCTTAGGCAAACATGCATTCTTTGTATTTATCTTACTTGGGAAAGAAGAGAAATGTAAAGACAAGGGGCTATGTCCACGTGCAAGTAAATGCTGGGAGTGTAAGAAAGAATAAAAGAGTAGATGCAAAATCCAAGCAAACAGAGACCCTCAGGAGAATTATGAAAAGGTAGGTGACACGGAAGTCACTGGTGTGAATATAGTGCTACAGAGGAGCACAGCTGAGATTCAAACCCAGGAAAGTGTACCCTTCTTCCCTACACTTTTGACAGGCCTCGATGCAGCTATTGGACACTCCAGGCTGTGCAATGGGGTGAGCAACCACTCGCATGCAACCAGCCTAACTTGTGCAGACCATTCGCAACTGTCACACACAGATGTTCTGGCTGTCACTCTGCTAGGGCTTTCCTGTTTATTTTGTGTGTGTGTCTCCAGGCAGTGACATTCCTGTCAAATGGTGATGGAATGTCAAGTCAGATTACTCCCAGTATGATATGGAGAGACAAGCGCTGATGGAAGGTGCCACTTCCCTGGTTCAGATGTGCACAGTCGTCACCAGCAATTAATGCCACTGCATTGGTCCTGCCTCCCTACTGGAACAGACCTGAATGTGCTAGGCAGACAGGGAGGAAGAAGCTTCCAGGCCTTTAAGTTTATCAGCCACAGTCTCTGTGCTGTCTGCAGCAATGATAACTAAGAGTGAGATACAGAAGAGCCAGGCTGGGCGCGGCGCAGTGGCTCATGCCTGTAATCCCAGCACTTTGGGAGGCCAGGGAGGGTGGATCACGAGGTCAGGAGATCGAGACCATCCTGGCCAATGTGGTGAAACCCCATCTCTACAAAAATACAAAAACTAGCTGGGTGTGGTGGCACCATGCCTGTAGTCCCAGGTACTCAGGAGGCTGAGGCAGGAGAATCGCTTGAACCTGGGAGGCAGAGGTTGCAGGGAGCTGAGATCACACCACTGCACTAGAGCCTGGCGACAGAGCCAGACTCCATCTCAAAATAAATAAATAAATATAAAAAAAAAAGAAGAGTCATAGCAAGGGGAGGTATTGTCCTACTATGAACCAGCTACTGTGCTGGGTGGCTCACATACCATGTCTCAGCTTAGGAGAGTGACCGAGATCCTTACCTTTGGGATTGGATACAAACTTATTTGTGGCCATGAGCAAGTTTCTTAAAACTTATAAACACCAATTTCTTAATCTGTAAAACTGGGATGAGGATAGCTAGTTTTGTGTAGCATTAAATAACGTTCATTTACTCTAAAAATATGCAGGATATAGTTGAATATATATACATTCAATGGGCTAAATATATTCAATGGATAACACAGTGAAGAAAATGGACAAAATCAGGCCAGGCGCGGTGGTTCACACCTGTAATCCCAGCACTTTGGGAGGCCGAGGCGGGTGGATCACGAGGTCAGGAGTTCAAGACCAGCCTGGCCAACATGGTGAAACCTTGTCTGTACTAAAAAATACAAAAATTAGCCAGATGTGGTGGTGCACACCTGTAATCCCAGCTACTCAGGAGCCTGTAGCAGGAGAATCGCTTGAACCCAGGAGGCAGAGGTTGCAGTGAGCTGAAATCGTGCTATTGCATTCCAGCCCAGGTGACATAGCAAGACTCTGTCTCCCCAACGCCCCCCCAAAAAAATAGACAAAATCCCTTGAACCTCACATTTGAGTGAAAGGAGACAGAAAGTAAATAAGTTGTTACAACGTCTATAAAGAACAGAATTTCTTTTTTTTTTTTTTTTTTTTTTGTGGTTGGTAGACATCTGATTTTAATTTTTTTATATCTGCTTTTCTGAGATTTATACATTTTACATAATAAACAAGTTTTATTTTCCTAAAGGAAAAACACACATCATTACTGGCATAGCCTTCACCCTGGTATCTGAGCGCATGTCCATTATACAACCTATCTGTGCCTAGCTATCAGAGTTGCCTTTCTTTTTTTTTTTTTTTTTTGGGGGGCGGGAAATTTTTTTTTTTTTTATTGACCATTTTTGGGTGTTTCTCGCAGAGGGGGATTTGGCAGGGTCACAGGACAATAGTGGAGGGAAGGTCAGCAGATAAACAAGTGAACAAAGGTCTCTGGTTTTCCTAGGCAGAGGACCCTGTGGCCTTCCACAGTGTTTGTGTCCCTGGGTACTTGAGATTAGGGAGTGGTGATGACTCTTATGGAGCATGCTGCCTTCAAGCATCTGTTTAACAAAGCACATCTTGCACCGCCCTTAATCCATTCAACCCTGAGTGGACACAGCACATGTTTCAGAGAGCACAGGGTTGGGGGTAAGGTCACAGATCAACAGGATCCCAAGGCAGAAGAATTTTTCTTAGTACAGAACAAAATGAAAAGTCTCCCATGTCTACTTCTTTCTACACAGACACGGCAACCATCCGATTTCTCAATCTTTTCCCCACATTTCCCCCCTTTCTATTCCACAAAACCGCCATTGTCATCCTGGCCCGTTCTCAATGAGCTGTTGGGTACACCTCCCAGACGGGGTGGCGGCCGGGCAGAGGGGCTCCTCACTTCCCAGTAGGGGCGGCCGGGCAGAGGCGCCCCTCACCTCCCAGACGGGGCGGCTGGCCGGGCGGGGGGCTGACCCCCCCACCTCCCTCCCGGACGGGATGGCTGGCTGGGCGGAGGGCTGAACCCCCACCTCCCTCCCGGACGGGGCGGTTGGCCGGGAGGGGGGCTGACCCCCCCCACCTCCCTCCCGGATGGGGCAGCTGGCCAGGTGGGGGGCTGACCCCCCCACCTCCCTCGCGGACGGGGCGGCAAGCCGGGCGGGGGACTGACCCCCCACCTCCCTCCCGGACGGGACGGCTGGCCTGGCGGGGGCTGACCCCCCACCTCCCTCCCGGACAGGGCGGCTGGCCTGGCGGGGGCTGACCCCCACCTCCCTCCCGGACGGGGTGGCTGCCGGGCGGAGACGCTCCTCACTTCTCAGACGGGGCGGCTGCCAGGCAGAGGGTCTCCTCACTTCTCAGACGGGGCGGCCGGGCAGAGATGCTCCTCACATCCCAGATGGGGCGGCAGGGCAGAGGTGCTCCCCACATCTCAGACGATGGGCGGCCGGGCAGAGACACTCCTCACTTCCTAGATGGGATGGCGGCCGGGAAGAGGCGCTCCTCACTTCCTAGATGGGATGGCAGTCGGGCAGAGACGCTCCTCACTTTCCAGACTGGGCAGCCAGGCAGAGGGGCTCCTCACATCCCAGACGATGGGTGGCCAGGCAGAGACGCTCCTCACTTCCCAGATGGGGTGGCGGCCGGGCAGAGGCTGCAATCTTGGCACTTTGGGAGGCCAAGGCAGGCGGCTGGGAGGTGGAGGTTGTAGCGAGCCGAGATCACGCCACTGCACTCCAGCCTGGGCACCATTGAGCACTGAGTGAACGAGACTCTGTCTGCAATCCCGGCACCTCGGGAGGCCGAGGCTGGCGGATCACTTGCGGTTAGGAGCTGGAGACCAGCCCGGCCAACACAGCGTGAAACTCCATCTCCACCAAAAAGATACGAAAACCAGTCAGGCGTGGCGGCGCGCGCCTGCAATCGCAGGCACTCGGCAGGCTGAGGCAGGAGAATCAGGCAGGGAGGTTGCAGTGAGCCGAGATGGCAGCAGTACAGTCCAGCTTCGGCTCGGCATCAGAGGGAGACCATGGAAAGAGCAGAAGAGAATTTCTTATTTCATCCCTGTGAAGCATTGTTAGTACCAATGAGGCACATGAGGCTGTTTAAATCACTTGCCCTGGATTATATAACCAGATTTTTGTTCAGCTGGGAACACTGGGGGGATGAAAAACAAGAGGAATATATGCATGTCTCCTGCTTCTCTAATCAGCTGAATCCAGGACCAAGGTACTTAATGTGAAAAGTTCTCAAAGAACCATTCATAATTTGTTGAATCATCTTAAAGCGTATGGGCCAAACTAGGTCATATTCAAAAATGTGGCCAAGAAACACATACCCCACAGTACCAGCCATTCCACTGGGCCCGAGACTAAAGGGTTTCCTAGGTTGTGAGACTTTCAGTGCTTAAAACAAGGACAGTTCCAGGCAAACTGGAATAAACTGGTCACTGCTGCCAAGACCCCAGGCAGATTTAATTTCTAAACGACATAGTGAGGATGGAGTGTTTTCAAAGGCAGCTAGGTAGGGAACACCTGCAAACTCAATATAAGTAGTAGAATCAAGCAGAGAAAGCAAGATGTCTGAGGAAGGCTCTACTCTGAGTCAGAGCTGTCTGTGCCTGAGTCACCTTATTTTACCAGTTTCTCTGGGATTGGCTTCAGGACAGGTGAACAATGCATAGTGATCACCTAGTTGAGCACCACATAATCATCTGAATGAATGTGGATGGTTAGTCAATAACTGTTTAAATAAATGCACCTCTTGGGCTGCCTGTTATCTGTATCAATAATCCATCCTTGAGCTCAGGCCCAACTCTTTAGGGTAACAGGCACTGCAAAATTAAGAAGAGTGATGAACTTGGCGTTAGACGTCCCAGCTCTGCTTCTCATAAGTGGGGTGCCCTTGCCAAGACACTTAATCTTTGTGAGTTTCAGATCCTCATTTGTAAAATGGAGATAAATTGTTACCCTCATCTCCCTATAATGATAATGGATTCACATGAAAATCCAATTAAACACTATGGGTGATTTTACTTTAAGGTCTGCCAAACTTTGTCCACCTCCACTTATATCCAAACCAAACTTTAGTTCTTACTTTATTTCCATAAGAGATCAGTTGCATGACTACTCCCCCTTTCTTTCATCTACCTTTACTTCTTTTTTAAAATTTTAATTTTTCCAGCCAGGTGCGGTGGCTCACACCTGTAATCCCAGCACTTTGGGAGGCCAAGGCGGGCGGATCACAGGGTCAGGAGATTGAGACCATCCTGGCTAACATGGTGAAACCCCATCTCTACTAAAAATACAAAAAATTAGTTGGTCATGGTGGTGGGCACCTGTAGTCCCAGCTACTCGGGAGGCTGAGGCAGGAGGATGGCGTGAACCCGGGAGGCAGAGCTTTCAGTGAGCCAAGATGTCACCACTGCATTCCAGCCTGGGTGACAGAGTGAGACTCTGTCTCAAAAAAAAATTATTTTTCCATAAGTTATTGGGGTACAAGTGGTATTTGGTTACATGAGTAAGTTCTTTGGTGGTGATTTGTGAGATTTTGGCGCACCCATCACCTGAAGACTATACACTGCACCATATTTGTAGTCTTTTGTCCCTCGCTCCCCTCCCATTTTTCCGCCCAAGTCCCCAAAGTCCATTACATCATTCTTATACCTTTGTGTCCTCATAGCTTAGCTCCCATATATCAGTGAGAACATACGATGTTTGATTTTCCATTTCTACCAAATACAACATGAAGCATTATCCAAGTATGACCTGCACATTCCCGGCCTCTGCCTGCAGGTGTTCTTTAAATGTAATTCTAATTTCTTTTAAGGATATACATGAATGTTATATGAAAAGCCGAATAGCTCTATAAGACTTATCATGAAAAACAGCAGTTCCTGCCCCTGCCCTGAACCTCATTCATTTCCTCCCCTAAAGGCATTTTCAACTCTTCTAGTTGTGTGTGTGTGTGTATTTTTCAGCATTAACCTTTGTATTTCAAACTATTATATCTCTTTTTCCAGGATGGTGAATTAGAGGCTTTTAGCATGTCTTAGCCACTTGGAAATTCATAAAGATAAACTCTGTGAGCTTTAATTTAAGAAGAAAAATGGGAAATCCACAAGAATTGTGAAGGACACCTCAGATCCCAGGAAGGAGAATTCAGGCAAAAAGCCCCCATGCTGGCATCAGGCGGATAAGGTGAGTGAAGCCCCAGTATGTGAAAGAGGCAGAGAGCCTCCCTCTATGACTCTTCTTTCCACTGGGGATCCAAGGCTGAGGGAGAGCCCTTTGTTGCTCCCAATCCCTGGAGCTAACTTGGGGTAGAGGCTTGGAGATGCTGTAAAGGAAAGGAGAAAAAATAATAATGTACAGAAAAAATCCTACCAACACAAAAATAATTATAAAAATCAGAAGTCTTCAGATAAGAAGGAACCAGTGTAAGAATTCCAGCACCATGAAAAATCTGAAGGTAGTGACATCACCAAAGGATCGCACTAGCTCTCCAGCAGTGGTCACTAACCAAAATGGAAATTCAGAAATAACAGATAAAGAATTTAAAACATGGATTACAAGGAAGCTCAATGAGATCCAAGACAAGGTTAAAAACCTGCACAAAGAAACTTCTAAAGCAATCCAGAAAAGGAAGACATAAACATCTTAAAAAGAAATCAATCAGGCCAGGTACAGTGGCTCACGCCTGTAATCCCAGCACTTTGGGAGGCCAAGGCAAGCAGATCATAAGGTCAGGAGTTTGAGAACAGCCTGGCCCACATGTTGAAACCCCATCTCTACTAAAAATACAAAAATTAGCCCAGCGTGATGGTGTGTGTGTGTGTAATCCCAGCTACTCAGGAGGCTGAGGCAGGAGAATTACTTGAACCCAGGAGGTGGAGGTTGCAATGAGCCAAAATTGCACAATTATACTCCAGCCTGGGCAACAAGAGCAAGACTCTGTCTCAAAAAAAAAAAAAAAAAAAAAAAAAAATGGAAAAGAAATCCATCAGAGCTTCTGGAACTGAAAAACTTAAGAAATTTCAAAATACATTTGAAAGCTTTGTCAATAGATTGGACCGAGCAGAAGAAGGAATTTCAGAGCTAGAAGACTGGTCTTTCAAACTAAACTAGTCAGTGTGGCTGGGCACAGTAGTTCATGCCTGTAATCCCAGCATTTTGGGAGGCTGATGGGGGAAGATTACTTGAGCTCATAAGTTCAAGGCCAGCCTGGACAACATGGTGAAACCCCATCTCTACAAAAAAAATACACACACACACACACACACACACACACACACACACACAAATAAATAATAGCCAGGCATGGTGGTGCGCACCTATAGTCCTAGCTACTCAGGAGGCTGAGGTGGGAGGATGGCTTGAGCTTGGGAAATGGAGGTTGCAGTGAGCCAAGATTGTGTCACTGCATTCCAGTCTGGGTGATAGAGCCAGATCTTATTTCAATTAAAAAAAATCAAGAAATATAGGATTATGTAAAGCAACTAAACCTATGAACTATTGGCATTCCTGAGAGAGATAGAGAAAAGGAAAACAAGCTGAAAATCATATTTGAGGGAATAATTAAAAAAGATGTCCCTAACCTTGCTAGAGACATAGACATCTAGATACAATAAATCCAGAGAATGCCTATGAGATACTATACAAATTGATCATTATCAAGGAATACAGTCACCAGACTGTCCAAGGTCAACACTAAAGAAAAAGTCTTAAAGGCAGCTAGAGAAAAAGTCAGATCATGTATAAAGGAAATCCCATCAGGCTAACAGCAGATTTCTCAGCAGAAATCTTACAAGCCAGGAGAGACTGTGGGCATGTTTTCACATTATTAAAGAAAAGAAATTTCAACCAAAATTTTTATATCCCACCAAACTAAGCTTCATGAGCAAGGGAGAAATACAATATTTTCCAGACAAGCAACCACTAAACGAATTCATTACCACTAGACCAACCTTACAAGAGATCCTTAATGGAGTTCTAGACATGGAAACAAAAGAACAACACCTGCTACCAAGGAAACACACTTAAGCACATAGCCCACAGACCCTGTAAAGCAGCCACACAATAGAAACTTCAGCAAGCCAACAGCTTCATGATAGGATCAAAACCTCACATATCAATATTAACCTTGAAGGTAAATGGCCTAAATACCCCACTTAAAAGGCAAAAAATGGCAAATTGGATTAAAAAAACAAGACCCATTTGTTTGCTGTTTTCAAGAGAACCATCTCACATGTAATGGCACCCACAGCCTCAAAGTAAAAAGTTGGAGTAAGATCTATCACTCAAATGGAACACAAAAAAAGAACAGGGATTGCTATTCTTATGTCAGATAAAACAAACTTTAAACTAACACAGTAAAAAAAGGAAAAAAACAGGTTACATAATGATAAAGGATTCAATTCAATAAGAAGATTTAACTATCCTGAATATATATGCACCCAACATTGCAGCACTCAGATTCATAAAACAAGTACTTCTGGACCTGCAAAAAGGCTTAAAGAGCTACACAAAAATAGTGGGGGACTTCAACACCTCACTGACAGTGTTAGATCCCTGAGGCAAAAAACTAATAAATTCTGGACTTAAATTTGATACTTGACCAATTGGACCTAGCAGACATCTACAGAATACTCCACCAATCAATCAACCACAGAATATATATATTTCCATATGTTCAGCCATAAAGCATCTCAGTACATTTTAAAAAAATCAAAATCATACCAAACATACTCTCAGACCACAGAGGAATAAAAATAGATGTCAATACCAAAAAGATCTCTCAAAACCACACAATTACATGAAAAGTAAAAACTTGCTCCTGAGTGACTTTTGGGTAAACAGTGACATTCAGGCAGAAATCAAAAACATATTTGAAATAAATGAAAGCAGAGACATAACATACCAAAATCTCTGCGATTCACCAAAGGAAGTGCCAAGAGGAAAGTTTATGGCACTAAATGGCTACCTCAGAAATTTAGAAGGATCTCAAATTAGTGATCTAATATCACACCTAGAGAAACCAGAAATACAAAATCAAACTAACCCCAAAGCTAGCAGGAGAAAGAAATAACTAAAATCAGCAGAACTAAATAAAATTGAGACGCAAAATTTTGTACAAAGAATCAGTGAAGCTAGAAGTTGGTGTTTTGAAATGATAAACAAGATCAATAGACCGCTAGCTATATTAACAAAAAAAGAGGAAGGTCTAGAGAAGCACAACCAGAAATGGCAAAAATGGCATTACAACCTATCATAGAAACGCAAAAGATTATCAGAGACTATTACGAACACATCTATGCACACAACCAGAAAATCTAGAGAAAAATGGGTAAATTCCTGGAAACACACAATGTCCCAAGATTGAATCAGGAAGCAATTGAAACCCTAAACAGATATAAAGTTCTGAATTGAATCAGTAATAAAAAAAAAAAAAAAAAAACCCAGACCATAGGAATTCACAGGCAAATCCTACAAGATACAGAAGAGCTAATACCAATCCTACTGAAACTATTCCAAAAAATCAAGGAGAAACGACTCCTCTTTAATTTATTCTTCAAAGTCAGTATCACCCTGATACCATAACCTGGCAAAGACACAGTAAAAAAAGAAAACTACAGACCAGTATCCCTGATGAATATAGACATAAATATATTCTTGACATTAGGCCTTTATCAGATGCATGGTTTGCAAATATTTTCTCCTGTTCTGTAGGTTGTCTGTTTACTCTTTTGGTAGTTTCAAGCAAAAATCAAACAAAATATTAGCAAAATGATGCCAGAAGCACATCAAGAAGTTACTTCAGCATGATCAAGTAGGCTTCATTCCAGGAATGCAAGGTTGATTCAACACATGCAAATAATTCACCACATTAACAATTAAAAACCATATTACCATCTCAATAGGTGTGGAAAGAGCTTTTGATAAAATCCAATGTGCCTTCATAATAAACCACCTCAAGAAACTAGGCATCAAAGAAACATACCTCAAAATAATAAGAGCAGTCTGTGACAAATCCACAGCTAATGAGCAAACTGGAAGCATTTTCCTTCAAAACAAGAACAAGGCATACGTGCCCACTCTCACCACTTCTATTCAACAGAGTACTGGAAGCCCTTTCCAGATCAGTCAGGCAAGAGAAAGAATTAAAAGGCATCTAAACAGAAAAGAAGGTGAACTATCTCTCTTTGCAGATGACATGATTTTATACCTAGAAAACCCTAAAGACTCTACCAAAAGCCTTCTGGAACTGATAAATGACTTTGGTAAAGTTTCAAGATAAAAATTAATGTATAAAAATCAGTAGCATTTCTGTACACTGATAACGTTCAAGCTGAGAGCCAAATCAACAACACAATCACATTTACAATAGCTGCAAAAATAAATAAATAAATAAATAATACCTTGGAATTTAACCACGGAGGTGAAAGATCTCTACAAGTAGAACTTCAGAACACTGTTGAAATAAATTATCGATGATACAAACAAGTGGAAAAATACTCCATGCCCATAGATTAGAAGAACCAACATCATTAAAATGGTCATACTGCCCAAAGTAATCTATAGATTCAGCGCTATTCTTATCAAGCTACTAATGTCATTTTTCACAGAACTAGGAAAAACTTCTAAAATTCACGGGAAACCAAAAAAGAGCCCAAACAGCTGAAGCAATTCTGAGCCAGAGCTGCTGTTGCTCACTGTTGCTCACTCAGCACCCAGAGGAAGTGGAGGACAGCCCACAGATGACCCGCCCTGCAGGAGACAAGGCACACCTTATGGTGTGGGAAAACTCCAATCACAATTATCTTTCGTCTTAAGTTCCAAAAGGACATGCATTTCTTTCTACTGTTGAAACAAACAAAAAAAGACGAGTGTACTTGCGAACAAAGGGGCAGGAAACAGGAGGCAGCAAACACTACAGGCTTTCCTTCCATGTGACAAAGGGATGATGCATCTCAGAGGTGGGAGTTCAGATCCTGAGATGCCACACTTAAGAATAATAATAGCCGGCCGGGCGCAGTGGCTCACGCCTGTAATCCCAGCACTTTGAGAGGCCAAGGCGGGCAGATCACGAGATCAGGAGATCGAGACCATCCTGGCTAACACGGTGAAACCCCGTCTCTACTAAAAATACAAAAAATTAGCTGGGCTTGGTGGCAGGCGCTTATAGTCCCAGCTACTTGGGAGGCTGAGGCAGGAGAATGGCATGAACCCGGGAGATGGAGCTTGCAGTGAGCCAAGATCGCGCCACTGCACTCCAGCCTGGGTGACAGAGCAAGACTCTGTGTCAAAAAACAAACAAAAAAACCACAAAAACATTAATAGCCACAGTCTGTGTGTCTTATCTGCTTCACTGAGAGGGAAGAAAACCATTACCCAGGAGCCTAAGGGGGTCTCAGGCTCCATGTAAGGAACTTTCTGAAGGGTCTCCATTTACATTTGATCTAAAGTTATAAGCTCGAATTTCAAACGTACAGCTCTCCATCTTGGGAAGGAAGATGATTGACTTTGATAAGCACTCCACCAGAGAGATAGACAGTGTAAGAAGCACAAGGCAGAAGGCTTGATGGATGAACTGTGGAGAGGGCAGAGCTTCATACCTTCCACCAAACGCCTCAATTAAAAAACGAGGTTGTAGGGGGATGGTTGTAAGATGTTTATATATTCAAAGATGGAGCCATAAAAGCTCAAAATGATCTGTATGATAGAAAAAGGGAAAAGAAAATGTATTTATCACCCACAATATCCCCTAGCGTGGTGCCAGACACTTCACATGGGTTATCCAGTGATCCTTCCTTTGACAGAATAGGAAACTAAGAATTTTATGTGATCAATATCCTGTAGCCAATAAAAGGAGGGCTTAGGATTCAAATTCAGGTCTGTCTGTCACCAAAGCCCATATATGCCATTGTTCTTGGAGGAATCCTTAGAAGCCTTTTCTCACTCACTCATATTGTTCTGAAAGGATGTGGATATAAGGACAATCAAAGTTCATTCTAATGTTTTTTGTTCCAGTAGAGGGGCCTGACGTGGGAAAGGTGGAACACTGGTTGGGCAGTACATCTGTATTGGTAACCATGACCCTCTTCACAGCTTCACATTCAGACACACTTTTCTTCCTGTAGAGAGAAGACCTGAGTCTCAGGTTGCCTGCTTGGGGCAGGCTGACATTGGATTTGGAAACTCTTTCCTGTGCGTGCTTCATGGAACCCAGTATTTAATGATGCCTCTGATTTGAAGATGCTGCTAATCTATTATCACTCAACATGACATTGGGTGTCTTTGTTTGTTTTATGGAAATTGGCTGCATCAGTTTGGTGTTGCCCAGCTGTCCTGGAGGAATTAAGGGAAAAAACAAAAAACAAAAAAAAAACACAATAAAACAGAGTGTTTTTCTATGTGGCAGCATTTGAGGAGATGCAGAAAGTCTTCCCAGATATTCCTTCCCTCCTCTGGCTCAGTACAATGCCTGTGTTTCCACTATGAATGTCAGAGTACTTTCAGAACTAGAAGAGCCTGTGGAGACCATCCAAACACATCTGACAGTAATGGATGAGTTCACTGAGACCCACTGGAGGGAAAGGTCTTTCTAAGACCATGCAGAGAAGTATGAGTGGCTGCTTCCATCCTTCAGCCCAGTGCTGCACACCTGCAAACCACTCACTATTTGTGTATTTATTAAGCCTTAGAGACAGCACTTTTCAAAAGAATAGAATTGGGCTGGGTGCTGTGGCTTACGCCTGTAATCCCACCACTTTAGGAGGCCGAGGTGGGCAGATCACAAGGTCAGGAGATCCTGACCATCCTGGCCAACTTGGTGAAACCCTGTCTCTACTAAAAATACAAAAAGTTAGCTGGGTGGGGTGGCGCTTGCCTGTAATCCCAGCTACTTGGGAGGCTGAGGCATGAGAATCACTTGAACCAGGGAGTAGGAGGTTGAAGTGAGCCAAGATCATTGCACCACTGCACTCCAGCCTGGCAACAAAGTGAGACGTCTCAAAAAAAAAAGCAAAAGGATAGAATTATTAGTGGGAAAGGAGGAATTTCTAGTAGAGGGCCCAGTTTATAAGCGGTCTTAGATTTTAAAAAAAATTGATGGTGTCGTTCAGGAACAGGGAGTGCTAAGTAAGCACAGGGTACTCCAAGAGGATTAATGAGATATAAGGCCAAAAAGATAGATTAGAACCACATGGTAGAGAGCCCTGAGTACCAGTGTAAGGCATTGCACTGCTGCCTCTGTCCTGTCATCTTATGGCCCCGGGCCATCCACTCAGGGTGGCATGTATGGCTTTGCTTCTCTTGAAATCTACCACCTTCTTTGAATACTACAAAGTTTATTAATCTATTCTGTTAGCACATGCTTCCTGAGTATCTACAGCATGTCAGCCACTGGTCTAGGTTCTAGAAGCCTATAGAAAATGTGGCAAACAAGGCTCTTGGCCTCATAAAACTTACATTTCCATGGGATATAGCAAAATAAACACAAATAAATCAACAACAGCATAAACCAATTGTGCCACATGCTCAGAAGAAATGAAGCACAACATTGCGACTGTAACCAAGTTGCAGGAAGTACTTTAAATGTGATGGCTAAAGAAGACTTCTCTGAGGAGGTGACATTTGAGCTGAGACCCACCCCCCCAAAAAAAAAAAAAAAATTGAGCTGGAGCTGGCGCCACAGAGGGATGGGAGAAGCTGGGCTCAGCCAAACAAAACTGCAAGTAGAAGTCTCTGGCGATAAAAGAATAAGATACAAAATTCAAAAATGACCAGGGTAAACTCAGCCACGGATAAAAAGAAATGAGAAGGTCTCATGAAGAAGTCTTTGTCATTGGACAAATTAAAAACAGGACAGATCTGAACTATGATTAAAGAACAGAGGTCTCCACCGGGCGCAGCGGCTCATGCCTGTAATCCCAGCACTTTGGGAGGTGGAAGCAGGCAGATCCTGAGGTCAGGAGATGGAGACCATCCTGGCTAACATGGTGAAACCCCGTCTCCACCAAAGATACAAAAATTAGCCAGATAGGGTGGCGAGCGCCTGTAGTCCCAGCTACGCGGGAGGCTGAGGCAGGAGAATGGCGTGAACCCGGGAGGTGGAGGTTGCAGTGAGCCGAGATTGTACCACCACACTCCAGTCTGGGTGACAGAGTGAGACTCTGTCTTAAAAAATAAGGAACAGAGGTCTCTCAATATATAGGTTAAGCTCAATGGTTCTCAAACTTGAATGAGCACAAGAATCATCCAGGAAGTCTGTTAGAAATGCACATTATTGGGCCTCATCCCAAGAAATTAAGAGCATTTTTAGACGAATACCTTAGTTAGTTTTGAAGCGTCATCCTCAGGACACATTTGGAGAACCACTGAACTAAAGACTCAAGCAGGAAGGACAGCAGTGGGCACAGGAGGGGTGGGCTGGGACGTGGTGCCAGGGAGGAGAGTGAATCAGAGGGAGGAAGTGAGGAGGCACCATCAGCTATCTGCTTCTACCTTGCCGTGACTGGCTCGTGTCTGACTTCTTTGTGCCCAGATTGGCAAGCTGAGTCATTATGACATTAGTGAATGCTAAAGAACTCGGTTCTGGGAACCCTAGAATACCTGAGGACATCAGGATGGAGAATTGTTAAGAGATGGAGGGAAATTATTGCTAATGGGAGCCCAATAATAGTCATCACACCCACAATTCCCTGCATCACATCCTCTCTGAGATTCAGGTTAGAAGACAACTCCTGCTCTCCTAGGAGGATGAGAAGTTAAACATAATGCATTTTCAACAGGCTTAAGGTCCCACTGGACCAGCAGGATGTCATTGTTGGTCTGGCGTGGGCTGCTGAGGAGTGCTTCAAAACAGGGTAAAGGCAGTGGCAAAACAATTGGCTGTGTCATTCCAAACCCATCCAAGCAAATTACACAGAAGGCAAGCAAGTGTCATTATGATTTATATAAATATATGTTGTAGATTTCATTAAGATTAAGCCAGCTTTGCAGTTATCACTTGCTGGGTTGTTTGCTTGGTCCTTAATCTTTATTTGCAACTGCCGATTAGCCTCATAAAGAACTCCTGTGGCCAGGAGCAAGCCTGAGCCTCACCTTGCTTTCTTTTCTTTAGGATTTCAGTCAAGGAGATGCCTACCTGGGGACAGAATCTGGAAAAGACCTCAAAATAGATCTTCTCAAGGCACCCGGAGGCAAACGAGGCATAGACACACTAGGATAAAAGCTGTCTTCAAGTCAGAGCCCTCCCTAGGGCTCCAGGCAGAGCAAAGGACCAGATCTCCCCCTCTGCACTCCCCACCTACAGATGAGCACCCAGGCAGGGGACACTCAAAGCAGGTGAATGAGGTAATAGTGGCTGTCAACCTTTTCATGTCAATGAAATGAATGATTGTCATTTGAGCAATCTTTCAACAATTCATTTAAATTCACTTATTAAGCTGTAGAGTGCAGGCAATCAGATGGCTCAGTGTAAAGATGAAAAAAAAAAATAAGAATACTACAATTCCTTGCCCTAAAGGAATTAACTCTGGTTTAGAGATGGGCTCATAAACATGATCTCAGGTTGGGAGAAGAAGGATGAAGAAATCATAATAGTGCAGCACATAGCTGAGGGATTTGGGGTTTTATAAAGCAAGCTGGAATTTTTCAAGTCTTCTAGAAACACCATCTTTTGTTTGTCCAAATAAGATCTTATGCAAAAACTCACGCAACTGCTGGAGTGATCTTTCTAAAATGTCAGTCTGACCACATCGCTCCTTGGCTCAGAGCAAAGATCTGCAAACTTTCTATAAAGAGCCAGTAGATATATATGTTAGATTTTATAGACCAGACAGCCTCCGTCACAACTACACAACTCTGCCCTTGTAGTGCTAATGAGGTCAGACACAGTAAGTAAATGAACGTTTGTGGCTGTCTTCCAATAAAATTGTGTTTGCAAGATTTGGACCATGGTCCATAGTTTACCTCTGACCTAGAGTCACTCAGAGGTTCCCATTCCCTTAGCATGGGACCCCGCACTTTTCACAATGGGAACTCCAGCACCCAATTGACCACTCTGTCCCTCCCCGTCCCTCCCCATCCCTCCCCATCCCCCCCCATCCCCTCTCTCTGCATCCTCTGATCCAGCCACATAGAACTTTTCTCTGTAACCTGAAAACACCATGGTCCTTCACAACATGATGTCTTCATGCATGCTGTTCACACTTTCTGAATTGTCTCTACTTTGTCAATGAAATTCCTATTTGTTCATGTTCTAGCACGTATGTCCCCCGTCTTGTTATTATTTTTGCAACATTTGACTACTTGGAAAAACTGATTATTTTCATGTCCATCTATCGAAGCAGAGTCTGAGTTTCTCAAAAGTAGGGTCCATGCATTTATTCCTTCCTGGATCCAAGCTCCCAGCACTAAGAAATATTTAATGGATGAAATACACTACAATAAATGGAGGGCACTAAACTAGAGAAAAACACACTGTATCCCTGTGTCTTGTTCAATCAGAAGTGTCAAGGTCTATTTCCAAACTTCTGAGCCTGAAAAATTCTCTCTAGAGAGCCTCCCTCTTTCCAGATTTTTCTTCCTTTTATTTCTCGTTCGAATTCTTCTTTCATTTTTTTCTTTCTCTATTATACTCTAACGTCTCACACAATGAGTACAGAAAAGTGAAGGACCATTCCATTACTTTTATCTAGTAACTAGAAATTTTGCCTAAAGTTACTTATTCGACACACATTTTTGAGTACCTTCCATATATTTAGGATACACCTGTAAACAAGGGAGTTGTACCCTAACCTCTCAAGAAGCCCGGAGTTTACTGGTAGAGAAAGGAAATGAACAGGTGATTAAACTACA
The DNA here is from genome assembly GCF_000001405.40 of Homo sapiens. Classification (NCBI taxonomy): domain Eukaryota; kingdom Metazoa; phylum Chordata; class Mammalia; order Primates; family Hominidae; genus Homo; species Homo sapiens. The sequence continues at coordinate 34,639,796 of NC_000022.11, forward strand.
GATTGGTAAATGTTACAGTAGAAAGCAGGGTCAGTGGAAGCAGGTTATTCAACCCCAAACCTGGGAAGGCAGGAGGTAGGAAGTCAGATAATTCTTACTTGATTAAGTGATATCTGAGGCAAGGCGTGGAGTTGTCATATTAGGTAGGAGTTAGCCAGGTAAGTGGGGCAAAGAACATGCCAGGAGGAGGAACAGGAAAAGCAAAGTCCTGAGAGTGAGAAAGAGGCATGAACTCAGGGAACAGAGAGTAATTTAGCCTCAGGCAAAGTTGTACTGTGCTCAGCATTTGCGGCAAGTTTCACGGGAGCTGACATCACTATCCCAGGGGTGGAACCTAGACAGTGAGACCCCCAGCAGACGTCTCAGGAAGAAGCAATAGTTGGAGTCACTCAAGTAGAAGCAATATAATTCCAGCCAGCTTAGATGAGGGCAGAGCTGAGCTACAACTCAGCTCCTAAGCCAAGAGCCGACAGTTTATGCATTCTAAAAATATGACTGAGCCACTGTGATGCAGGGGGAGATACAATGATCGGACAGACAGACATGAGCAAACAGGTTTCCAGAAGCCCATCAATCAGGCTGAGGACTCGGGGGCAGGAGTAGCTGGGATCAGAGGTGCCCACCACCACGCCCGGCTAATTTTTTGTATTTTTAGTAGAGACGGGGTTTCACCATGTTAGCCAGGATTGTCTCGGTCTCCTGACCTCGTGATCCACCTTCCTTGGCCTCCCAAAGTGCTGGGATTACAGGTGTGAGCCACCGAGCCCGGCCAGGATTGAGTTTTATACCAGCAGAGGCACTGAAGGGTCTTTCAGAAACTAAGAAGGAGAAAAGCAGAGAACAGGAAGACGTCAACTGTGAGAATCAGGGGAGAGAGCTCTACTCCCAGGTGCTGCTCACGGGTCCATTGGGGTTCATCAGTATTCTATTCTGCCTGGCTTAGATACCACTGGCTCAGTATTGCAGAGCATCGTGGCTGATGTTATCTGTATCTAGAGTCAAATATCCCTGAGAGTATAACAGCTTGCTTGGCCCGGTTGAGGAACTCCAAGCCCCCAGACTTTCTAGAAAGTGGCCATCATTAGGATTGATTTTGCCAGTAATTTGATGCAGGGCCTCCATTTCATCCGTTGAAATAAAAAAAAACACCACAGCCCTGTGGTTTTCTCTAAGATTCATTTTAGCTTCCTTCTATAACCTTCATTAATCTCTCCAGGAACACCTTGCAGAGTCTCGTTCTAAGCCTTTAGGGCTCTGGGGTTAGAGTTAACTCTTAATTGAGCCTCCTCTTACCAAGAACAAACAACACAGGCTGTCTACCAGGCAGGATTTACATACTCAGACTTACACCTTCTCTTCTCCTCCATTCAAGACAGGGGGGGCATGCAGAAGCCTTGATCTCCGAGTGGTCTGTGGCCGTGAGGTGGAGAGATACAACTGCTTTGTCGAGGACCCAAGGGAAAACCGAGCCGTGGCTGTCTGAGTCTTATCAAAGGAAAAACGGTAACAGTACTTTTATTTTCTTTTAATGAGTAATGTAGGGGAAAAAACTTGTAAGTAAGAATTCGAAACTAAATTTGCCAAATATGCTGAGAGTTGATCCTTGGAGAAACTTTATCTTTACTGCATAGTCAAACACATCAACTTTGGGGGCACCTGGCAATTACTATGTGGCATAGATTCAATTTGTTCTTGTGTAGACAATATTATCTGGCACAGGGAACAGGAAACCTCCACACATATTTTAGTAAACACAATCCCAGATCGTGAGGAAGGGTTTCTGGGGGCTCCTCATCGACACAGCCAGCATCCTGTTTTGCTTTGCAGCCAGTGAAGAGGCAGGGCCCATCCAAATCTCCCAGTTGTGGGGGCTCGTTGAGCAGCCTGGGAAGGGCTGAAACAGAGACAGCAGACATCCTCTGATGTCTGAAGGTGATTAAAAGCAAAAGAGGAGATCTCTGGTAGTCTATTCTTTTTTCTCTGATAGATTGGTGATTCTCAAAATTTGGGGGAGGGGGACAATTTGTGGGAAAGCCTGTAATGTATTTGTATGGCTTATCCATAAAGACCATAAAGCCAGTCTTGAGCAAAATTCTTGTTATTTCAGGGAATAATTTTACTGCCTTGCATGTATAAAGACATACCTTATCACTTATCCAAAACTATGATAATTCCATTTGGAAGAATAATGTGGCATAGTCATGGTGCCTTTGCCAATTTCAGGTGAATGTCAAATACTAGTAATGGGTGAATATGTGGCTCTTCAGTCCTGTTGAGAGATAAAGGTGGGCAGAGTCAGGGTGGGGGCACTACTGGTCCTTTCACTATCTGAGTTCACTATACCTTTGACAGGTGCCAAGTACTGAGTATTGGCATAATGAAGGCAACTTCATTTGCCAAGTTATGCCTTCAATAGACTCTTCATTCCAGGTGACTATAGGACTCATTTAAGTACTGCTTTACCAGTGGGTGCTCTAGGCTACTAGTTTTCTATTCTCTAATAGTAACCAGGGATTCACCGCCTTCGACTCAGCCAGATTACATAACCTATACCAGGTTTTTATCCTAGAGAGTCTAATGCCTATAACCATTTCTGGTACTAAATATTGTACCCATTTAAGGTTTAGTTATAGATAATAGGACTGTTCCTTTAACAGTTTTTGAGAATTAACATGGGGAATTTTTGGAGGAGCTTGAGGAGCAGGCTGCAGAATTAACCTCCAAGAATGATTTCTAGAATAGCACTGTGGGATTGGCTACCAGAGGAAGGACCTTCTACCATAAGAAGAATGCTGGTGGTCAGGAAGGACTACGGAGACTCTTGTTTCCAGGGTCACATTGAGGCTGAATGGTCAATACCAGCAACAGAATATCTCTTAGGTTAAAATCTTCCCTGCCACTTTGGGAGGCCGAGGCGGGTGGATCACAAGGTCGGGAGATTGAGACCATCCTGGCTAACACAGTGAAACTTCATTTCTACTAAAAATAAAAAAAAACTAGCCGGGCATGGTGGCACATACCTGTAGTCCCAACTACTCGGGAGGCTGAGGCAGGAGAATCTCTTGAACCCAGGAGGCAGAGGTTGCAGTGAGCCAAGATCACGCCATTGCATTCCAGCGTAGGTGACAGAGCAAGACTCCATCTCAAAACAAACAAACAAAAACAAAACAAAACAAAAAAAACAACCTTCCCTGCGTAACTTAGGCCTGATTCAAATATTGCTAAGTGTGTCTAATTATAAAATCAAGATCACATCCAAATCTTTAGCTGCAGAGGAATCTAGAAAATACTGTTTTCAGTTTTCCAATGCCTTCAGCACAAAAGAAAGAATACTTAAAGGAGGTTGCCAGCAGATGTGGAGGGAGCCAGGCTACAGTATTCACTCCTCCACCACCCCGAGTTCCATCCAAGTTCCCAAATTATGAATTAATCAGCCAAGTATTTGTTGCAGTGCTACTGCACACAAAGTACCTTGGCGGTACAGGGTTGTATGAGGTGTGTCTAAAGTATGATGTTCGTTGATTTCACAAACTAAGCCAAATTAATGGGCTGGAATGAATATCTCCCTTCAAAGGGGAACCCTGTGCAGATCTTACATGGGACAGTCTGGCCTCAGACCTTTTCTGGACTCCCTTTGGAGGGCTTAATGAGCATATACACATATGTACCCTCGAAATCAGGTTCATGGTTTTAAAACCATACTTGTCAGAACAGTATCTCATGTTGACAATGTGCCAGGCCCTGTGGTATGTTGTTTACAAGCGTTACATTACTTCAATTGCATGACAAATTGCACTGTGAAGTAGGTGCTATTCTCATTTCTCTTTTAATGAAAGAAAGAAAAGCTCAGAAAAGTTAAGTGACTTTTGCAAAGTCTCACGTGTTCTAAGTGTGCAGCAGGAGAAGGGAACTGAAGGCTCTGTGGCTTCAAAGGCCATTCTCTTCCCATAACATTAACATTCCTTTCCTTAACTAAGAGAATGGAGTTTTCCTTCCAGCCTGAGAGCCTACCATATCTCTTGAGCTTGTATCTCAGGGATGTTCTACTGTTTCCATGAAGGGCAGCCTCTCAGTGCAAAAAGACGTCTCTGAGTTGGTTACTGTTCCTGAATAAATCCAAGTGAATATGCTCTTAGATCTTCAGCCAGTCCTAAGGAGAGAGAGGAAGAATGTTGTGAATCATGGATTTATTAGTTTAATATTCCCAAAGCTTCGCCAAGTGGCTCTCTGAGAAAGGGATAGTCATCAACTAAGTATAACAAGAATAGGATGTATAATCAATAATCATCGAGATGTATAAGGTGAAGTGTGTTTACTTAGATTTAAACATGTCACTTCATTATTGTATCTACGTAATATTTGGCTTCCATTCTCATGTGATACCTAATTTCTTCCTTCTTTCACTTTCTTTCTGATACAATGTAATACTGAGGTTGAATATGTGAGCTCAGTGTAGTTTTGATCCCTGGCTCAGTCACTTACTAAATATGGAACTTGAGCTAATTACTTAATCCCTTCTTAAGTCTCATTTTTCCTCTAAGTAAAATAATGATGATAATGGTACCTACCTCACAAGGTTATTCATAGAGTTGTTGAATGGATTAAATCTGATCATTTGAAAAAGGCATTAACATACTCTTTGGTACATAGTAAACACTAAATAAATGTGAGATATTATTTTTTTCTTTTTTGATACAGAGTCTCGCTCTGTCACACAGGCTGAAGTGCAGTGGTGTGATCTCAGCTCACTACAACCTCTGCCTCCTGGGTTCAAGCGATTCTCCTGCCTTAGTCTACCAAGTAGCTGGGATTACTGGCACGCACCACCACACCCAGCTAGTTTTTGAATTTTTAGTAGAGACAGGGTTTCACCATGTTGACCAGGCTGGTCTCGAACTCCTGACCTCAGATGATCTGCCTGCCTCGGCCTCCCAAAGTGTTAGGATTACAGGCATGAACCACTGCGCCCGGCCAGAATTTACTTTTTATTTTTCATGTACAAAACTCTGCTCTAGGCACCCTAAAGATTCTTACCTTCACTAATTCAACAAACATTTACTGAATGCTGGAGATTATAAAGGATTCCAATGTGGTTTCAGCCTCTAGGAGCTCAATGTGTGGCAGAGGAAACAGATCAGTGAACAAATCAATGGAGTTAAAAGTCTATGGTATCTAGTTGTGGTACACACTCTCCAGGATAGAGTGCAAGCATGAGAGTGAGTGGTAGTTCTACCTAGCTGTTATGTCTGGGGAGGCTTCAAAAAGATGATGTTTGAGATTAGTCTAGAAAGATGGTTCCAGAGGGTAGAAAGAAAGGGAATTCCATGGAGACACAAACAAAAAAGCAAGAATGAAAGCAAGCTGACAGGAAGGGAACCATAGGTATTGTGATGGGACAAAACTCACACAAGGGGTGGGAGGCAGACGGATCTAGAGTCTGGGGGGAGGTTGCCATAAGTAGTCACAAGCAATGTCAGCAAACATTGCTCTAAACTATATAAATCCCAGTGCTCCCAGTGGCCCAGTCCCTGAACAAAGTCACATTTAAGAAAAAGTTTCATTGTCAGGAGGGAATTAATGACAATCAAATCTTCCCCGGCCATCATACTTAAAAATGTCAGAGGGTAGAAATACAGTCAATGCCAAGAACTCCTAATATGTAGGTTTGCATCTCTCTTCCCAAATCTTACACTCATAACAACTGTAGAACGTGTCTCCCTTCTCTCCGCTCCACAAGTCCCACGTGCAGTTTCTTCATTGCCATGCCCCTCTTTGGTCCATCCCAGCCACAGCCACGCGCTAAGTGCCTGCTTTGCTCCCACCTGCTGGCCAGTCCAAGGGAAGCCAACAGGGAATTCTCAACCATGTTGCCCTACAAGACAGCATAGCCAGGGCATTCATTTGCTGGTAGACCCCACATGGTTTTAAGAAAAGGAGGCTATCTCTAGCTCAGTGACTCCTGGAAAGCCTCAGGCACCAGGTGATACCTGAGTTGGGACTGTGCCATCTGAGAAGTCCCAGATGGAAATTGGACAGACAGAAAATAAGAAAAAAGCCATGTTGAGGAAGAAAGAAAGGAGCGAATGGAGCCAACGCTGGTGTAGGATCTCTATGCATTGGGAAGAGTTGTACTCACTTTGCCCTCTGCACACCTGGGATGCAGGTTTTCTGAGACACCACAGCATTTTGGAAGTAGAAGAGACCTTAGATATTCCGTCGTCCAGCCCTTTGGCTTTAGAGATGAAATTTGGGACCAGAGAGAAAAAGAACATAGACATTTTTGTCTAAAATTCAAACATTTACTTCACTTCTTCAATCAAAATTACAAATTAGATTCATCGTCCCCAGGAAACTGTGATGTTTCTTGTCATGAGTATGAACATAGAGTCACAAAATGTATGAAAGAGGTGGGTATGTATTTGTATGTTCCTTTTAAAAAGGATGTCCTCCTTGGGATATGTCCTCCAGGATTAATTTTAGCAAGGATGGAAGTGGGAGAAAGGCAGTATGGGGTGAGCATTTTCAGGGGTGGTACTAATTTGAATTCTCCCTGGGCTTTGCCACTCACAAGTGGAGTATGATATTGGTCAGTTCCTTAGTCTCCTTGAGCCTCAGTTTCCCTGTCTTGTAAAATGAAGTGTGTGATTGCACCTTGCTCTCTGTGTTGTCAGGATCATTTGAGATAATGAACATAAAGCCCTTATCAAAGGGACAGGCAGGAAGTCACTGCTAAATTGGTGGTAGCTAATATTATTAGTGCTGTTGAACAAACAAATTCTGCAGGCACCTTGCAGCAGACATTCTAATATGTTCAGCATCCATTTCAATCGTATTTATTGTGTTTCCCTTGTCCTCTGGGCCATGGTCCATATTTACAAGCAAGGTGCTTTGTTGGCAATATCAGCATTGATTGTAGGACGACCTGGGGGCCTTCAAACTGTCCCTTCCTCAAGATGGCCATGCCAGTCAACCCTCAGGGGAATAGATAGCAGGGCTCTGCCAATTGCACTTGGCATGGAGCATGTGGTCAGCAGGATGAGCACAGCCTCCATCCTGGCTGGGAAAGGTGAGCCGGCAGATGCTGATTCCAACACAGATGTTGCCCAGGAGAGTGGCAGCCGCTGGTGTCAGGAATTGCTAATTGTGTTGCCTCCTGGCACAGCATTCACACACAGCCCTAGAATGGCTCTTGCATTGGAAAAGGATTCTTTCTGCCTCTCGTTTTGTGGCAACTTCCTTCTCAGGGACAAAGCCTGGCGCTGTTACAAGATTTGGTTTACAGAAAAAGGCCCTTGTACTGTGCCCAGTTTTCCAGATGGGCTCCTCTTTAAACTAAAAAAAAAAAAAAAAAAATTGATTTGGCCAAGTTCACCTGGTGAACCCAGACGCGCAGTAGGGCTAGTCCTCCCATTTGAATGCCACCTTTTTAAATTAAACTTTCTCTCTTAAAGGCAAGACACACTGATTAGTTAGTTTCCTGCCCAAAAAACTTACAAAACACATACACATCCTATAATATAACACATTTATTATAATAGTTCTCCCTCCCTATTTCAAGCACTGCAGTATTTCACCATGGAAAGGATCTGGCCTTTGCTATCAAAACTCTTGATTCTGAATTCTGGGTCTGCCACACCAGACCTTTGTGACTTTGGACAAGAGTTCTGTCCTTGAGGCTCAGTCACCTTGTGTATAATATGTGGATAAGACAACCTACCCTCTCCATCTTGCAAAGAATAAAGGAGAAGAGTTATGTAAATTACTTAATATTGGGTGCCTGGAGCATGGTAAATGCTCATTAAATGCCCCTCTATTATTTCTTGTAACTAGTTGCAGAACAAATAAAGTCACATCTCTCTTAATAATGTAATTAATTTCTCAAGCTTTTCATATGACCAAATTACCCAGAAGCCCAGAAGTTCTTACTGGGGACCTCTCTATTGCTCCTGAATTGTCCGAGAATGCTTAATCAGCATGAAGGAGGCAGTCTGCTCTAAATGCTTCACAGAGAGCTGGAGAATCAGTCAGCAGGTGGGCCCCATTTTTTGCTGTTGCTTCATACAGGGTTGACATTGAAACCTAGGCCTGCATTGGCCATGGGGCCCATCTACTGCTGCAGAGATGGCAGTGCTAGTTCAGCAGTTTTTCCAGGATGTAAAATGAATGGCAAGGCATTCTTCATCCCGACGGCAACATACGTCTGTAGTGCAGAATGCTACTGTGGGCCCATTTTCCAGGTACAGCAATGCTTTAACTATAGGTGTTAATACAGGTTTTTGTGTGGGCTGGAGTTGGTTAGTGTTAATTGAGCCAGGGAAAACACACACACACACACACACACACACACACACACACCCTTGTACCTAGAGGATAGGCCCACAATAGCATCCTGGACTACGGATGTGCATTCCACTGTAGATATATAAATATATCACACATTGAAATACACATGGCTGGGCATGGTGGCTCACGCCTGTAATCCCAGCACTTTGGAAGGCTGAGGTGGGTGGAACATGAGTTCAAGAAATCTATATCATCCTGGCCAACATGGTGAAACCCCGTCTCTACTAAAAATACAAAATTAGCTGGGCATGGTGGTGCATGCCTGTAATCCTAGCTACTCAGGAGGGTGAGGCTGGAGAATCGCTAGAACCCGGGAGGCGGAGGTTGCGGTGAGCCTAGATAGCTCCATTGCACTTCAGCCTGGGCAATAAGAGCAAAACTCTGTCTCAAAATAAATAAAAGAAATGCACACACAAACATACACACCCATAGCAATCACTAGGCATGGGTGCATGGATTATCTCATTTAATTTTCGCAACTGCTGTCTTAGTCTGCTAGGGCTTCCATAATAAAATATCATGAAAGAGAGAGAGAGGGAGATCTTTCTCTGATGCCCGCTTATAAGGACACCAGTCTCATCATGAATGCCCAACCCCCATGACCTCATCTAATCCTAATTACCTTCCAAAGGTCTCATCTCCAAATACCATCACATTGTGGGTTAGGTTGAAATTTGGTGGAGACACAAACATCCAGTTCATGATAGCCACGCTATGAGTTAGCTACTAGCATTTTTCTTATTTTATATATGAGGAAACAGGCATAAAGAGGTGAAGTAACTTACAGTCACTTGAACTGGTAAGAAGCAGATTTGGGCTATTTATGTTGTGAATAGAAGCAGTTAGAATCTGTATTTGCAGTTCTTATTTATTTTATTAGTTCTTACATGAACTTGGGTTTTTTAGATTACAGCTTTTTGCTTGCTACTCTCATGCTCAGCGTGCATCTGCCTGCATGGTTGAGTGAGGGGTGGGCAGTGTCTTCACCAGAATGCACCACTCTATGACAATTTATACTGGGGCGTCAGATGGCCATGCAGGTCTTCCCTCTTCCCGGTGAACCACCAGAGGCAGTTTTGTCTTCCCTCCTGCCAACACACCTCAGCCAAGAGAGTTTTGTTTTATCAGAGAGGTTCTAATAACTCTCAAGCTTTTTTGTTGTTGTTGAGACGGAGTTTCAATCTTGTCATTCGGGCTGGAGTGCAATGGCGTGATCTCGGCTCACCACAACCTCCGCCTCCTGGGTTCAAGTGATTCTTCTGCCTTAGCCTCCTGAGTAGCTGGGATGACAGGTGCCTGCTACCAGGCCTGGCTAATTTTTTGTATTTTTAATAGAGATGGAGTTTCATCATGTTGGCCAGGCTGGTCTTGAACTCCCGACCTCAGGTGACCTGCCTGCCTCAGCCTCCCAAAGTGCCGAGATTACAGGCATGAGCCACTGCACCTGGCAACTCTGAAACTTAAAAGCAACAGGCTCCAAATAAGTGCTGGCCCCTTTGCAGCTCTTAGGCTTCTCAGCCTCCACACAAATGTGCTCTTTTGTCATCCAGTGGCCAGTCTGTTTACTGCCACTGACGCTGCTCCTTGCTCCTTGTCCTTAAGCCTTATCCCTGACTAGAGCTCAAACTCATTAGTGCCCAAGGCCTGGGCCAGGAGAGGATAATAGCATGAGGTTTAAAGACTCCAAACACTTACAGGGGTGAAGTGTGCAGATTCTGATGCCAGATGCTCTGTGTTCTAATCCTGGCACCTCTTGTGCAACTTTCGGCAATTTACTGGACTTCCTGTGCCTCCATCCCAATGTCTGAAAACTGGAGATCCCAATAGTAACTCATAAGGTTTTTTGAGAGGGTTAAATGATATGATACACACAAAGCACTGAGAACAATATTTGGCATACATAAAGCGCACCATAAATGTGACCTATTATAAATATGAATCTTAGATGTACCACTGCTTACCTACATGACGGAGGGCATTTCATTCAGCTTCTCCAGCTTTGGTTTCTTCATATGTAAAATGCAACAGATGGAAATAAAAACCATATTAAGGCTCCAGGAGATCTGGTTTCTAGTTCCAATCTGTCACTAGTCAGCTCTGGATATTAGCAAGTAATTCTGTCTCATTGTGCCTCAGTGTTTGCCTATAAAATGAGAACAGAATCAGATCATCTGTAAAATCCTGTTATCCTAAAGATATGTTTCTGCTATCTTAGTATATTGCTGGGTGCAAGGTAAGTGTTCAATACCAATGATCCTGTAAATCCATAACATGTTTTTATTGTTCATATATAATTATGATTATTTCATGGGGTTGTACTGAATGGGAATATGTAAAGTTTCATTTGTTATTTACAACAATCCTATGAGAGAGTAATATTGACGAAGCCAGCTGTATTAGTCTGTTCTCCAATTGCTATAAAGAAATATGTGAGCCAGGGTAATTCATAAAGAAAAGATGTTTAATTGGCTCATGGTTCTGCAGGCTGTACAGAAAGCATGATGCTGGCATCTACTTGGCTTCCAGGAAGGCCTCAGGAAACTTACAATTACGACGAAGGCGAACAGGGAGCAGGCACTTTGCTTGGCCAGAGCAGGAGCAAGGCAGAGAAGAGGGGAGGTGCTACATACTTTAGAATGTCCAGATCTCATGAGGCCTCACTATTGCAAGGAAATTGCCAAGGGGAATGGTGCTAGATTATTCATGAGAAACTGCCCCCACGATCCAACCGTTTTTCACCAGGCCTCACTACTAATATTGGGGATTACAATGTGATTTGAAATTTGGGTAGGGACACACATCCAAACTATATCATGTAGCTAACATGGTTTCAGGGCTTACTGTATTTCGTATAAATTCCTCCCATGCTCTGCTTCATTCAGTCTCCACAATAGTGCTCTGAATTAGGTATTATCCTTATTCCCATTGTTCAGATGAGAAAGTAGAGGCTTGGAGGTTTAAGTAATATGTTTTGTGTTACTTTGGTGGAGCTGGAGCTGAAGAATAGGGCATAAGATGACTGCTCCATAGACAGGCAGTTATTAATAAACCCACCTGACAGAGAGAGACTCTGAAGCTCGGTCAGGAAATAATAGGTCCAAATTCACTTACAAGTGAGCAACAAGGTCAAAACCAGAATCCAGGCTTTCTCTTCCCTCATCTGGAGTGTGCTCCACTGTGCAGCCTCTCAAGCCCTCTTGCTTGTGGAATAAATGAATACAAATTAATGCTGAATTTGTATTCATTTCCAGCTAACTGGCAGATTTACACTAACCAGCAGATTTACACTTTCTCCGCAGCACACCTTCAACAAACACATCCTCATGCATACTCTTTTCAGTCTTTGGGGATCTGTCTTCTCTCTCTGACTCACTCCCTGGCCCTGGCAAACTAAAGTCGTAGCCCTGTCTGTGAGCATGTCGGTACCAGACCCCAACAAAGGCTACGGTAAGCACTGAGAAACAGGGGCAGATCGTACTGCTTTACTTGGTAGTGAAATCAAAGACGGAGGTCCCCAAGTGCAGATGACAGAAGTTCCCAAGACAAAATGAGCCACAGGAATTCGGAGGGCTGGCAGCAGATGTGAGAGGTTTTGGAAGAAATTACCCAGGCTAATTAAATGTGAAATAATACATAAAGGGAGCAAGAAAGTCCTGTGTTCCCTCTCTTTAATGTGCCTACATTCACAGGGCATCTGTCATTTTGGTACCAAGTCTCAGAAAACAGCCTCAAAGGAGAAATCCAGGTAAGAAGTTCCACTCTGCTTGAAATAGAGAACAAAGATATTACCAGAAGAATTAATGAGTACATTAATGAAAGATAAGTAATAGTGCAGAAGGGCCAAATACAAGGCTTAGCCCAAGGAATGAGTTTGATAAATGTTTGTTGAATGAATTCTTCTATTCCTTTAGTCACTTAGGTCCAACATAGCTGCCATAATGCCAGGTTAAGTGATAGAATTTACAATGAAACAAGTCTGAATCCACACCTTCGGACTGCTGCTCACTAGTTCCGTCAATCTAGAAGGGTTGCTATCTACTCTAACCCTGTTTCTTATGTATACATTTATTTATAGCATTTTCTTGAAAATTAAGTGAACCTAAAAAAATAATTCCGTGATCACCACATTTATTGTGACAGATCTAAGCATTTGATGATACGAAGGCCACTCAGAGAGTTTCTCCGAATTGCACCATTCATGCGTTCCTTCAACAAGCCTGTTTTGTTGGAGGAGCTGATCTGATCTTCCCCTCAGACTGAAAGGAGCATGCGAGGCAGCTTAGAAAAGCAAAGTTCAACCTGAACACAGGAAGACATTATTTAAGCCTGAATAACTCTGCTCTGGGGAGCTGTACTAAGGTTAAAATAATTTTGCATGCAGATATAGTTGTTCATTGACACCAGAGGGTAAAGTCATATCTCTCTGGCTGGGATTGGGTTTCCTTGAAAGTAGGGGACAACCAAACTGCCAATCTGACGAGAAGAGGGAGATCCCGAAGTGGAAAAAGGGGACCCAGAAGGTGGGCCTTCATCTGGGTAGGAAGAGAAATTCTCCCCTCTGAACCACCAGACACGTAGGGTCTCAGGGCTGGGGGTGGCTACATGGCCTGGGTCTGTAGAGTCATATCTCAGAGGTTTAAGGTCCTGCTAATATGATTTATGTAGATGTGAATTTTGAAATATTAATGTAAATGTGATGATAATGTGTCTCCTGAGCTAGGAAATCCAAAAAAGCTACCCCAGAGAGGTTACATTTATTTTATTTTTTTTCCATGGGAATTGAGAACTGCATAACAGACACAATTTCTGTAATCACACTGGCTTCAAGAAACCTCAGAGGAGAATTTGTGATCAACCCAAATATTCATTGAAAAACGTTGACTGAGTGCCTACGCTGGGCCAGACTTTCAATGTCTGTTTCCTGACTTTGCTGATTTTTTTTCCTTTTTTTTTAAAAAAATTGTTTTTAATTTATGCCATCTTGTCTTTTTTATGTTCTCTTATAAAAGCTTGAAATTCTTTCTGAAACAAGGCAGGTTGTAATTAAACTATGTGATACAACTGCTTAAGGAAACTGACCCATCTTAAGATGCATTAATCATCATTTCTCACATTCATATAGTTTTACAATTTACAAGGAATTTTGCTTCCATTATTTCAACTGATTTGCATGTCAATGTTTTGAAGTAAACAGGGATTATTATTCCCATTTTATCAAGAAGAAAGCTGAGTTTCGGTGTGGTTAGAAGATTTGCTTGAAGTAGGTGGATCGTGGACTTGAATCCCTTACAATTACATTTACTCCAGTTTTCTTTGCATTCTACCAAGTTAGATCATATATTATGTAACATAATATTCTCATTGTACCCAGAGGAGGCCAGGCCATGTTTGGAATATGATGTTCAATTGTACAAGCCTTGTCATATTTGCAGAATAGAATGGCCATGATGAAGAGTCCAGATGCCATGACATATGGAGAATTACCAAAGGGCTAGGAATAATAGCCTGATCCATCTCAGATCATCAGCTGTTCTAAAGTATTGTACCATGTGGGCAGACACCTGTCCTTAAAATTTTGTGGGATAGAGATTGAGCCAATGGATGGATGGAAGAAGAATCCTATGAGGTTGTGCTTGCCTCCTGGTTGCTTCTCCAACAACCATTCTGCCTGCAAGGGTAAGGATAATTCAACAAACAGGGTTAGGCAGTATAATATTATTATCTCACATAGCTGGAATTAGTGAGCTCTAGTTGGGAAGGGATCCAAACATGGACCTCTTAGAAGCTCAGTGATACCTTTGTTGACTGAGTCCTTTCCATTTCCATTCTGTGGTCAGTAACAACAGCTTCATTCTAAGGCTGACACCATTATAGTCACAAAAAAACTCTTCTGGTGGCAATCTGGACTACACACTTTCCCATTTATCTCTATGAAGGAGAGAGGAAAACCTCTTCCCCGGACACAGAATATAATCTTTCCCCTTTGTTTTATTGGTTCAACTTCAGCTGCTGCCTAACCCCAGACCAATCACGGTCACCAGAGGAGTTCCATGCACTGATTACATGAGGCTAATCAGGAATTAAGCATGGAATCTACCCAGTGATAAAGTAGCTGCCTCTGAGTCACATGGACTGCATGGCAGGAGTGTAGACACATGAATACAGTTTTATTGCTGTTGGAAGGCCAGAATTCAGAAGGATTACAGGGTAGCCAAGAACAGTGGTCCCCAACCTTTTTGGCACCAGGGACCAGTTTTGTGGAAGACAGTATTTCCATGGATAGGGTGGGGGTTGGGAGCAGGGATGATTTCGGGATGAAACTGTTCTACCTCAGATCATCAGCATTAGTTAGATTCTCATAAGTAATGTGCAGCCTCTCTTGTGCAGTTCACAATAGAGTTTGCACTCCTATGAGAATCTAGTGGCACTGCTGATCAGACAGAGGCAGAGCTCAGGCAGTAATGCCCACCCACCCGCCGCTCACCTCCTGCTGTGCAGTCTGGTTCCTAACAGGGCATAGATCCATACCAGTCTGTGGCCTAGGGGTTGGAGACCCTTGGCCAAGAGTGTTTGTTACACCCCCTTCCACTCAAACACTTCCACATCACTATACTCCCCTTCTGCATCATAACATAATGGCCTTGGAATCCTTGACTTAGGCTAAATCAGTAGCTGTGTTTTATCATTCTGGCCCCATGAATTATGAGGTCTTAATCCTGTCTAATTAGAGTAAGCCTCACCACTTATTCCAGTTTGATTATCTGGAATAAAAGCTCTTAATCTCTTACTCAAGATAATGGTGGTGTGTGGCTAGAAGACCCTAGAACTGCTTTTGACACGTTTTCCTATTATAAAAAAGTAGTCAAATGAGAGTGCTGACACATGGAAGATGTCAGGGCATAAAGGATTGCCAAGAAATGGAATCAGAGCCTTGAGGACACTATGAACCTCTGGCTCAAATTGTACCTGAAATTCACCTTAACATTGAACCACTCAAGTACTGATTTGAGCAATTCTCACTGTGTCTAAAGCCATCTTCAGATGTGCTTTCTGTTTCTTGCAACATGAAGAATACTGATATGGAAGAATCCAGTTCAATCAGATGAATGTGTTTCTAATCATCAGAACTTCCCCCAAAATAAAACAGGCTCTTGTTCCCCTTTGTCTTCCGTGACTGGAGGTGTTTAGGTAGAGGCTGGCTGGCCATCTGTCCAGGATGCCATAGAAAGGATTTCTGCATTGGTGGGAAGCTGAATAAACTACCTTCTAAGAAACCCTACAATTCTGATACACTAATACCTCTGTAAGGCCAAGATGAAAGTGGAAATTGAGCCAAAACATGTATAGGAGAATCTAAATAAAAGTTACTTGGATGAAAAATGAGAATTTTCCCTCTGAAGCAGAACTAGAGAGAAGACGTGTTTCATTCATTTGTTCTTTGATTCATTCATTTATTCAACAGCTGTGCATTAATCTCCAAATACATGCTAGGCACTAAAGATACAGGGAAAAACAAAATCAATATCCTGCTTTTGTGGAGCTTTCATTCTAGTGGCATGCTATAGTGGCATGCTAAAAGATATGGGCTTTGGATTCAGAAATGTCTGAATGGCAGTCATGACCTCTGTAAGCCATGTAGCTTTGGGTTGGCCTCTCTGATCTTCAATTTCTTCATTGTTTAAATGGGAGCTACTAAACCTACCTCATATGGTAGTGTAAAGGTTAAATGAGAAAATGTATATATGTAAAGTACTTCAAAAAGACCAAGAACAAAGCAGTTAAGGAATAAATAGTATTTTTCATCCATGGCTATGGCACTAACAGATATGGATTAAAGGAAAAGTTCCCACATTTCATCTTCTGCATGGTCCCCACCAAGTGTAGATATAGTAAAAATCAGATGATCATGCAGAAGCCTAGAAGAACTTGATTTGAAATGAATCAGATAAATATAATTTGAATGAGAGCGGTGAAAAATGTCTAAGTTCATGTGTTCGTTCATTCAACAAGAGTATTTCATCTCCAATGAGTTAGAAACTATTTTAGGTGCTTGGAACCCAACAGTGACCAAAACAGAAAGCATTTATATTCTACTAAGAACAGAAATACACTAAATACAATATAGAGGGATTGTTATAATGTTACATGGCATTAAATGCCAAATCAATGATACTAATAACTGGCGCTAAGGAAATGGAGAGGAGATAGATGGACCCAAGGGTTTGGGTAGCTAGAGAAGTTTTGAGTGGGAACATCAGGATGTTGGAAGTACCAGAGCACAGTCCTCAAGACTTGCAGTGCTGCTAAGTAAAGGGGAGACCGTGATGATGTGTGTAGTGTGGCATCTGTATTTGGAAAATCTGCAAAGGAATTGCATGCCAGGACAGTGTTGATGAACCAATGCATAAACATATGGGGAATGGGATCATTTTTTATTTTAATAGAAGATTTCAGCAAATTCAAATCCTGGTTTCATTACTTAATAGGTTACTTTGAGGAATTTGTAACCTAGGTCGTACAGGTGAAATGAGGATTCATTGACAGAATGCCTATAATGGACTCGGTATATAGTAAGCTTGCAATAAATGCTTCATTATTATTACATTATTATTAATACTGTGATATTAAGGCACACTACCAAGTGTATTCATCTTCTATTGCTTCTATAACAAATTATGAAAAATTTAGCAGCTTAAAGCAACACGTATTTATTAACTCATAGTTCTTTAGGTCAAAAATTGGATTCTTTACTAAGGATATCACAAGGCTAAAATCACAGTATCAGCTGGGCTGAGCTTTTTGTTGTTGTTGTTGCTTTTTTTTTTTTTTTTCCAGAAGGAGTCTCACTCTGTTGCCCAAGCTGGAGTGCAGTGGTGCAGTGGCACGATCTCGGTTTACTGCAACCTCCACCTCCTGGGTTCAGGCAATTCTCTGACTCAGCCTCCCAAGTAGCTGGGATTACAGGCGCCTGCCACCATGCCCAGCTAATTTTTGTATTTTAAGTAGAGACAGGGTTGCACCATCTTGGCCAGCTGGTCTTGAACTCCTGACCTCATGATCCACCTGCCTCGGCCTCCCAAAGTACTGGGATTACAGGTGTGAGCCACCACCCCCAGCCTGGGCTGAGCTTTTATCTGGAGGCTTTGGAGAAAAATCCTCTCCGGAGCTCATTCAAGTTGTTGAAAGAATTCACTTCCTTATGACTGTGGAAATGAGTCCCCATTTCTTTGCTGCCAGGGACCACTCTGTTCCTAGAGGCTGCTCACATTCCTTCTCACATAGCCCCTTCTTCAAACCAGCAACATTACGTCAAGTCCTTTGAGATGGTTTGGCTGTGTCCCCACCTAAATCTCATCTCAAATTGTAATCCAAATTATAATCTCCACCTGTCAGGAAAGGACCTGCTGGGAGGTGATTGGATCATGGGGGTGGTTTCCCCCATGCTGTGCTCCTGATAGTCAAAGAGTTCTCACAAGATTTGATGGTTTTATAGGTGGAGGTTTCCCCTCTCTATCCCTCTCTTACCTGCGGCCATGTAAGACTGCCTGCTTCCCTTTCCATTTCCTTTAGTTGGGCATCAGCAGCCTTGGGCTGAATGTTGGTAACTTTCCCCAGTATTAATGGCATTTTGCTAGAGTATGTCACAGATTTCTGGAGCAGGAGAGAAGGTCAACAGTAAGATGCCACATGGTGATGCAAGAGCTAATTATGGGGACATTTTACTCATGTAGATTCCACTGGCTTACTTGTGAAGAATGGAAGGGTAATTCCTACATTGCAATAGGGGATGAAGCCAGATAAATACAGTCTGCATTGCTTAAAGACAGGGATACCTTCTGAAAAATGCATCCTTGGGTGATTTTGTCATTGTGTGAACACGTTAGAGTGCACTTACACAAACCTAGGTAGTATAGCCTACTACATACCTAGGCATGCGGTATAGCCTATTGCTTCTAGGCTCCAAACCTGTACAGCACGTTACTGCACTGAATGTTGTAGGCAACTGTAACACAGTGGTAAGTCTTTGTGTATGTAAACGTATCTCTACATGGAAAAGGTACAGTAAAAATAAGGTATAAAAGATAAAAAATGGTACACCTCTACAGAGCACTTACCGTGAATGAAGTTTACAGGACTGGAAGTTGCTTTGGGTGAGTTAGTGAGTGAATGGTGAGTGGATGTGAAGGCCCAGGACATTGTTGTATACTACTGTAGACCTTATAAATACTGTACATTTAGTTTACACTGTTTATTTTTAAAGTATTTTTCTTTTATTAATTTTTTTTTTGAGTCAGAGTTTTGCTCTTGTTGCCCAAGCTGGAGTGCAATGGCGCAATCTCGGCTCACCACAACCTCCACCTCCCGGGTTCAAGCGATTCTCCTGCCTCACCCTCGTGAGTACCTGGGATTACAGGCATGTGCCACCATGCCTGTCTAATTTTGTGTTTTTGGTAGGGACGGGGTTTCTCCATGTTGGTCAGGCTGGTCTCAAACTCCCGACCTCAGGTGATCTGCCCACCTTGGCCTCCCAAAGTGCTGGGATTACAGGCGTGAGCCACTGCGCCTGGTCTGCGTTTTTCTTTTTCCAATAATAAATTAATCTTAGCTTACTGTATCTTTCTTACCTTATAAACTTTTTAATTTTTTCAACTTTTTGACTTTTTATGATAGCACAACTTAAAACACAAACTCACTGTACAGCTCTACAAAAATATTTCTTTGTATCCTTATTCCATAAGGTTTTCTCTACTTAGAAAATTTTTATTTTAGGCAGGCGCAGTGGCTCACACCTGTAATCTTAGCACTTTGGGAGGCTAAGGCAGGCAGATCAAGTGAGGTCAGGAGTTCAAGACCAGCCTGGCCAACGTGGTGAAACCCAGTCTACTAAAAATACAAAAATTAGCCAAGTGTGGTGGCACATGCCTGTAATCCCACCTACTTGGGAGGCTGAGGTAGGATAATCACTTGAATCCAGAAGGTAGAGGTTACAGTGAGCCGAGATTGCAGCATTGCACTCTAGCCTGGGCAACAGAGTGAAATACCGTCTCAAAAAATATATATATATTACTTTACTTTCTAAACTTTTTTGCTAAAAACTAAGACACAAAAACACACATTAGCCTAGGCCTCCACAAGGTCAGGATCATCCATATCACTATCTTCTACCTCCACAACTTGTCCCACTGGGCGGTCTTCAGCAGCAATAACACATATTGAGCTGCCATCTCCTAAAATAACAATGCCTTCTTCCAGAATACCTTCCGAAGGGGAAGCTGATCATAATCTCAAAAGACATAATCCTGAACGCCGTAATCCCAAATATGGAAATCCTGAAAGATCAAAGTCTCAAAACTATAATTCTGGAAAATATAATTTAAAATTATATTTCAATATATTTATTTACATTTTTTAAAAAATGATTTATTTGAAAACATGACAGATCATGGGCCACTTTACACAATACAATAGGCAATAATAGTCTACATATTTTGGCAAGCATGAAGTATACTCAGGTATACTAACAACAGTCACACGAGTGTAAGAGCTATGAGCAAAGGAACCATATGCATGAAGAAATAGGTCAAGAAGCAAAATTTTAAATGTGTATTACTGTAGTTGGTAATTGTGTGCACTCAGCTTTATAACTGCAGTCATCTGAAATACCATGATGGACAAACTAAGTCTTTTGAGATCAGTCAAAAACTTGATGGGTCACCACTGCATCACCACCGCACCAGTGGCCCAAAGACTCACGATCTTGAGAAATTTTATCTTTCACGAATGCAGACATATGAAAAGGATACCTCTTCATACAGTGAAGAAGTTTTAACATTTTTATGCACCGTCGCAATGCTTACACACAAAGTCAATGTTGTGGTAATGCACTTTCGTGGAACAATATTTGCAAAAGATGTGTAAAACAATTAGAACTCTCCAAAAATCTTTATACAGTTTATACCTCCGGTATTGGAAATGATGTGAAGATGAAATACATAGCACAGTGAATTGTAAAAAATAATGCTGATAATTTAAAATAGTAAAAAATAACGGAAAAGAAAATTTGACATATGAAAAAGTGTATGAAAATATAGATTATGGGCAATTCCGTGGAGATATTTCATAAGAGCTAGCTGACTTTCATGATAATTAACTTTATTTTGATGCCTTACATCACAATGAAGAGGTTTTGTTTTTTTTTCTTTTACGGCATGACTCTCCTCAGATAGTATGTTCACATTCATTTTCTATGTGGTGCTTCTCTTTTTGAGTCTTCTGATTCAATATACACTAACGTGAGCATTCTCTATTGAATTTTCTCATCTTCTGTGTCATGCTTCTAAATTGTTTTGGGAAAGTGGAAATCCGTTCCATACACAGACCACAAATTTGGTGGAAACAATATTGGAAAGTGAATGGAATCACTGTTGCTTAAGTGTCTTCTTATGCTAAGATAGACATCATTATTTTGAACCAATCAGTAACTTCATTGACTTCTTCAAGTAAATGTGGCTTTAATTCGTTAAAACCTCCTGGAATGTCATCAGATGGAGGGGATATCAATGCAGGCAAATGATGTGTTTTTAAGATGAAGTTTTCATTATTGCTGTGTTGCACGTCCAATCCACTCATCTGCATTTTCTGCCAAATGTATTGGGCTAAACGGAAAACACAAACTTTATTGGTAACACTTTGAACTTTTAGAAGCCTTGATCTCACCCAATTACAAATCTGTGATTATGTTTGGGGATTCAATTAAAATCAATTTTTTCTGCATAAAGCCAATAACATGGTAGCATTCCTACCTAACATGATGCAACTATCCTGTGTGAATTTTTGAGATTTTAGACACTAGGGGTTTTAGACTTTAGGGATGTTAATCTTTTGGGATTTCAATATTTGGGATTACAGCATTTGAGATTGTGTCTTTCAGGGTACAAACCCCTTTGGAAGAAACTGCCTGAGGCTTTTCTTGCAGAGGTGTCACTCTTTTTAGAAATATATCTATGGTGGTTTGCTTGGCTTGTTTTTCTTTCCCATTATAAATTTGCGTTCCGCAGGTAATGCACCATAAACATTCCTCTGTATTAGTGTAAACCTTTCGTTGTTGGGATCTTTTAAAGCACTTGTTAGGGTCTGCAAAAGCTTCTGCTAACTCCTTCACTGTAAATTTTCTTGGGGGTTCTTTTTTTTTTCTCTCTCACTTGCAGTTTCCTTTTCTCTTGCCTCTTCTCCAACTATGTTCTTGTTACACTTCCAATAGCTCCTCATTATTCAGTTCCTCAGGACCTTTAGGACCTCCTCAATATCATCTTCCTCCACATCCAGGTTAAACTTGTTTTCCATCTCAACCACAGCCTTGTTGGTTTTTGCAACCTCCTCGTCCTTGACAAATCCTTTGAAGCCAGGGACAAACTTCTTGAGTGTTATCTTTCAGATGCCATTCGTACGCTCCTTGACAGCATCATCCCAAGCCCAACAAAAAATCTTTTTTTCTTTGCTCTAGACTTTATTATTTATTTGCTTTCCTTTCTTTAATTTTTATTTTAAGTTCTGGGGTACATGTGCAGGATGTGCAGGTTTGGTTATATAGCTAAACATGCGCCATGGTGGTTTCTTGCACCTATCAACCCACCCCCTAGGTATTAAGCAAACATGCATCAGCCATTTTTTCTAATGCTCTCCTTCCCCACACCATACCCACTGACAGGCCCCAGTGTGTGTTTTCCCCTGCCTGTGTCCATGCGATCTCATTGTTCATCTCCCACTTATAAGTGAGAACAAATGTGCCAAACAAAATTTTTGATGCAGTCATAGATGTTGTAATCCTTCCAGAATTGCATCAGTGTCTTCCTTAGTTGCAGCAATAGCCTGGGCAAAGGTCCTCTCCACGTAGTAGACCTTAAAAGCTGCTACTCCTTGATCCATTGGTTGGATCAAAGGGGTGGTGTTTGGAAGGACAAATGACACCTCGATATTGGAAAGAAAGAGGATGTGTAAGAGCATTATCAACAATAAGCAAAATCTTGAAGACTATGTTATTCTCCAAACAGTAATTCTCCAATTCACTGATACAGCAATTTGGAAGTGTATCTTGGAAAAGGCGCTTGGAAAAGGACTTCTTAGTGCTCCTGTAGTACACTGGCCATGTGTGCTTATTGATACGCCTGAAGGCCCTTGGGTTCTCACAGTGCCAGATCACAAAGGGTTACAATTTGTAGCCTGTACCATTCTTCCCAAGTAAGACTATTATCCTGTCCTTACAAGCCTTGAAACCAAATATTGACTTGGCCTCCTTATGTATAAAAGTCATTTTCAGGCATCCCTCTCCAGAATAGGGAGGATTCATTCATATTGAAGATTTGCTCTGGCAAGTAATTTTCTTCCACAATCAGCTTGCTAGAATTTTCAAAATTTCATCTGCCTTCACATCAGCATGCACAGACTCACCACTTACTTTCACATATGTCATGAATAGTGATTCTTTAAACCACCCAGGGCTGGCAGTAAATGCAGCATGGTAGTTGGGTTCAGCCTTTTCCTTCAACATCTCAAACAAACTTTTTGCTTTGCCCATGATCATCATCATGCTAAGAGGGATAGACTTCTGAGTCTGGTCCTCAATCCAGGTCATTAGAAGTGTCTCCCTATCTGATATGGGCCCCTCCTGAATTTTTCTCAGCCTTGTTGTCTTCAGTGAAGCAGATCTTTTAACAGTTTCTGTCCCTCTGTTCTTGTTCTTCAAGATAGTAGCTATGGTGGAATGGGACTTGCCTTCCTGGCAAACAGTAACCACCACTGATTTTCCACCTTCGTTGTCTGTCATCACTTTTAATTTTGTTTCCAGGTCAGTCACTTGATAAGTCCTCTTACTGACAGCATTAGCCATAAATTTTGCATGCCTAGGGTCCCACAATGAACAAAACACCACCAGATTAAATCAAGCACAACAGGAAGTGATGAAATAAAGAGATTGTAAAGAGATGTGTAAGGTTGCCGCCCGTGTAACATGGCATACTGTTTTACAGTTAAAAAAGCAAACATGTTTTTAGAAATAGAAGGAGTACACTCTAAAATCACAATAAAATGTATAGGATAGTAAAGACATAAACCAGTAATATAGTCATTTATTATCATGATCAACTATTATGTACTGTACTTAATGGAATGCGTGATACTTTTATATGACTGGTGATACAATGTAGGTTTGTTCACACCAGCATCACCAAAAACATGAGTAGTGCATTGTACTGTGACATCATGATGGCTATAGTGAGCAATAGGAATTTTTCAGCTCCATTATAATCTTATGGGACCACCGTCCTATATGTGGTCCATCATTGACCAAAGTGTCATTATGCAGCACGAGAAGGTGTTGTTGTTGTTGTTGTTATTGTTGTTTGTCTTTGTTACTGGAGGTCTATTTTGAATCCTAGTTGAGCTGTAAAGCCCTGAGAAATTCTGAGGACTTGACAAATAGGAATAATAACATGTGTCCCACAAAATAATTATCTGAGGGTTAAATAAAACTATTTATTTAAGGTTCAGACACAATTCCTGGACTACAGAAGATGTCAGTAACTTATATAGGGCAGAAGAATTATGCTGCTTTTAAACAGGTAATTTTTTTTATTTTTACAACTTTTCACATACTTTTAGCTTCTAATATTATGTTGATAAATAATTGCTTTCTTTTAAAAAATGAGATATTTTCTTGAAAGAAGAGGAAAAATTTTAAAAACCAAAGAATATGGTTTTCTCTCTGTTAAACCAAAATTTTACAATTGGCCTCAAATGGTCAGTCTATTTCTTTCCTGTGTGTCTTCTTGCAAACATATCTGATGAAGTCCTTTTTGAAAGTATGATACTGGCACAAGAATAGACAGGCAGATCAATGAAATAAAACAGCCCAGAAATAGATTCCAGTATGTATAAGAATTTAATGCATGATAAAGGAGACATTACATACCAATGTGAAAAGGAAGTATCATTTAACAAATGGTGCTGGGACCTCCTGATAACAATTTAGAGGGGAAAATCTATTTTAAACACTTATTTCATATAATGCAGAGAAATCAATTTTAGATGAGTTAAAGAATTAAATATAAAAATATCAAATCTTAGAAAAACTAGAGGGAAAAAGGTGAATAAGAACTTAATCTCCATAGGAGTAAGAACTTTCCAAGCTTAGAGCCATAGAATAAAACACAAAGGAGATCAACAGGTTCAAGTGCCTAGAATTTAATTTTTTAAATCCTAACACAGAGACATAGAAAAGCTGAAGTCAGACTTGAAATAATAGTTCCAGCAAATCTAAACAATGTGATAACTCTTTCTTATAAATGGCTTATATCAGTCAGGATAAAAGAACACTAAGTTCTAGATCAATAAATGGGCAAAAACATTCACAGAAATTCACATATAAGGAAAAGATACCTGATAAGCATGTGGTAGAAGATCTAAGCTCATCAGTAATTAAGAGAGTAATACATTTTAAGAATAAAGAATTAATTTTTTAAAACCATAGATTTGGCAAAATTATTTTTAAGAACATTTAACATTAGAAAGGATGTAGAGAAAATATCACACATATCTATTGTATGCAGTAGTATGAATTTGTTTAATACTTTACAAAACATTTTAATAATTTGTACTAAGAGACTTGGAAATATTTCAGCTAGTTTGGGGCTATATTTCTAATTTTCAGAATATAAGCAATTTTTTTTTTTTTTTTTTTTGGAGATGGAATCTCGCTCTAGTTGCCCAGACTGGAGTGCAATGACATGATCTCGGATCACTGCAACCTCCACCTCCCGGGTTCAAGTGATTCTCCTGCCTCAGCCTCCCCCAAGTAGCTGGGATTACAGGCACCCACCACCACACCCAGCTAATTTTTTTTATATTTTTAGTAGAGACAAAGTTTCACCATGTTGGCCAGACTGGTCTCGAACTCCTGACCTCACGTGATCCGTCTTGGTGTCCCACAGTGCTGGGGTTACAGGTGTGAGCCACCGTACCCAGCCGCAAAAATTTTTTTAAATGTTAGGAAAAGGAAGAAACAGAAGAGGAGAGAATGAGCCATTGGCAAAAGGTTTGCTATAGCATTAAACTAATAAATAATTATAAATAACACTAATAGGAAAAAAATTGAGTCAATTATGATGCATTCATCCAGGCTTTATATTGTATTATTACAAATATCATTCAGGGTTCTAAAAGGAAACAGATGATAAAGTCAACCTGGAATAATTTGATACAGGTTCAGGAAATAATCAATTTACAAAGAGTGTACAGAGAATAGGAAACCATCTGAGATAGTGCTGTACCCCAGAGCTAGTAACAGGAGAGCTGTCACTAGCTCTAAGCCTAATGAGGTGAGGGAAAAAAGCAATTGCCAGAACTTGGAAAAAGAGTGTCTTGGAGACACCTAGTCGGCGATGACAGCGGTTGTGACTTCTTTAAACCAAGGGACACACCATCTCAAAGCCACCCCATATGGAGGGATCCAGCAGAATAAATATTCTAATACCATTTCTCCTCTCCAATAACCAGCTCAGGTCCCCCGCATGGCAAAGCTGGAGGGCAAGCACACATTTGAGGTCATCTGTACCCATCAGCCTCCCAAGGCACAGGACAGGAAAAAAAGCACACATAGATCAGGAGGGAGAGAAGGAAGACATCCATTACACTGGAGAAAAACTGTATGAATTTGCTCTTATGGTATGATCTAAAATATTAAATTTGAGAAAAAGTAGAAATCAAAAAAATACAATAAAATGCTAAGTTTTGGATTAAGGTCATAGAATTGTTAGTAAATTTTTCCTTTTCTTCTTCTTTTCCAAATTTTGGGTTTATTAAAAAGGCAAGAGCAGCCGGGCACTGTGGCTCACGCCTGTAATCCCAGCACTTTGGGAGGCCAAGGCGGACGGATCACCTGACGTCAGGAGATTGTGACCAGCCTGACCAACATGGGGAAACCCCGTCTCTAATAAAAATACAAAAATTAGCTGGGTGTGGGGGCGCGTGCCTGTAATCCCAGCTACTCTGGAGGCTGAGGCAGTAGAATTGCTTGAACCCGGGAGGCGGAGGTTGAGGTGAGCCGAGATCATGCCGTTGCACTCCAGCCTGGGCAACAAGAGTGAAACTCCATCTCAAAAAAAAAAAAAAAAAAAAAAAAAAAAAAAAAAAAGCAAGAGCTATTTTCTTTAAACTTTGCATTTTCAGCACAGGTGTTTAGCAAATCACAAGCATTTAATAAAATTTAAAGAATCAGTCCTCTGAACCTGAGCAACTACTCTTCTCTGCCATATTATTGGAAAGTTGTTGTCCCCCACTCCAGGAGACACAAACCCTGTCCCCTAGCATATCATTGCATAGTAGTGTTAACTCACTTTCACTTAATATTTAATTGTTAGCCATCACTAGCACCTTTTACATTAAGGTATCTGGGGTCAGGGCTGAGGTAAATAAAAGAAAGAAAGCATTCACTGAAAACATCTCACTCCCTGAGTCTGTGCTGGCCACAATATTTAAGCTGATGATTATAGTCACCTTCTTCCACCACCTTTTTTCGTTGTTGTTTCTCTTACATTTTTCTAGTACCTCAGGAAGATGGGGATGCTGACCAAACTTTCATTTAGTGTTATCTGAGTCTCCAGAGATCTTGCTTTATTAGATTGCCTCAGTTTTCAATTAACCAAGATTGTTGCACAAAAAAGTAATAGGAGGCACCTTAGCGAATACCCTGGATTCTACATGTGACCTTATTGTGTGGCAGAAATCCAATTTCCAATGATAATTGAGATCGACCTTGTTGGCCAGTATAGGGACTGGTCCTCTTTCTGTTGCCTTGTCAACATAATGAGTCCAAAAAGTCCAGAGGGCAATCTCAGTGCACAAATCATCAGAACCATGACTGTCTTTGGTGGTGGCACTGCTCCTGAGGTAGGAGACCTCCAAACCTACCAATCCTAAGGCTATCAGACAAGAAGCAAATGTTCTTTGAATGAGTTATTAGTCATAATAACGTGAGCGTCCACTCTCACCTCCACCTGAACTGATACATTCTGGCTATGTGTTTTAGCTACTGTGTTTAAGTATTTATCACATCCTATAGGACAGTACCCCAACCACCCAGTGTGCTCCAAGATGGTACCATAAATAAGCCTTTAATAACTATATTAGGCCGTTCTTGCATTGTTATAAAGAAATACCTGAGACTGGATAATTTATAAGAAAAGAGGTTTAATTGGCTCATGGTTCTGCAGGCTGTACAGGAAACATAGATCCAGCATCTGCTTCTGGAGAGGCCTCAGGGGGCTTTTACTCGTGGTGGAAGGGAAAGTGGGAGCAGGCACGAGGCGAAGGCAAAAGTAGGAACGAGAGAGAGAGAGAGAGAGTATAGGTTGAGGTGCTACACACTTTTTTTTATATGTACTTTAAGTTCTGGGAAACGTGCAGAATGTGCAGGTTTGTTACATAGGTATGCATGTACCACGGTGGTTTGCTGCACCCACAAACCTGTCATCTATATTAGGTATTTCTTGTAATGCTATCCCTCCCCTAGCCCCCCACCTTCTGGCAGGCCCCAGTGTGTGATGTTCCTCTCCCTGTCTCCATGTGTGTTCTCATTGTTCAACTCTCATTTATGAGTGAGAACGTGCAGTGTTTGGTTTTCTGTTCTTGTGTTAGTTTGCTGAGAGTGATGGTTTCCAGCTTCATCTATGTCCCTGCAAAGGACATGAACTCATCCTTTCTATGGCTGAATAGTATTCCATGGTGTATACATGCCACATTTTCTTTATCCAGTCTATCACTGATGGGCATTTGGGTTGGTTCCAAGTCTTTGCTATTGTGAATAGTGCTGCAATAAACATACATGTGCATGTGTCTTTATAGTAGAATGATTTATAATCCTTTGGGTATATACCCAGTAATGGGATTTCTGGGTCAAATGGTATTCTGGTTCTAGATCCTTGAGGAATTGCCACACTGTCTTCCACAATGGCTGAACAAATTCACACTCCCTGCAACAGTGTAAAATCGTTCCTATTTCTCCACATCCTCCCCAGCATCTGTCGTTTCCTGACTTCTTAATGATCGCCATTCTAACTGGCATGAGACAGTATCTCATTGTGGTGCTACACAGTTTTAAATGACCAGCTCTCATGAGGACTCACTCACTATTGTGAAGACAGCCTCAATCCATGAGAGATCTGCCTCCATGGTCCAAACACCTCCCACTTAACCACACCTCCAGCACTGGGGGTTACTCAACATGAGATTTGAGTGGGGACAGATATCCAAACTATATTAATAAACATGTCATCATTTCATCAAGGCAGTTGCTACTGACAAGTGGAGAACCTAGTTAGGTCAATGAAGGTCATGGATATGTGTCCATGGCTACACTTCCTTGGTTATAAAATGACTTCCACAGTCAGAGGAGATGGTGTGTCAGATACCACAATATAGATAAAGCATTCTGTAATGTTGTACCAAGAATGTTGGTACTAACAGAGAAGTTTTGGGGAGGGAATGAAATTCATACTTGGAATTTGTGCCTATATCACTATTAGAACAAAGGGTTACCCCATTCAGGAAGGGAGGAGAGCAGTAATATCAACATTTTAACAGATAGCTGCCCGGTTTCCTCTGAATGGTGCCATATCCAGGGCTCAGAGTTGGCTTCTGATGCTGACAAATTAGGCCCTCAGCACTGGCACAGCCAGACCAGTACTAATGAGGGGAAGACCATGATGCTGAAACTGTGAGTGGGCTCCATCCCTGCTGCCATGCCCCTTTGTATATGAACCTATTGAGCAAATCCCAAGGTATCTAGGGAAAGAAGTTGACTAATATACACAACACATTATTTCTGGTCCACCTGATTAATAAGAGCTTCCTCTACAATGAATTTGTCAGGTAGGAATGTGTGTAGACTATAAAGGTCCTCACTCTCTTTATCTACCCTGGGAGGTCCAGGTCCATACCTCCCTTACAGATCTCTTTGTCCCCAATCTTCAAATCTTGGTTTTTTTTTTACCCGCAAGCAGCTAGCCAACTCATTAGTCACTGCTCATGAGTCAGTGTAAGGATTTCAGCATGAGGAGCATGCTAAAATCTGATGTTCACATCATCTGCTGCACAGACTATCTTCTTTCCCCATGAATTGGGTAACCAGATGCAGAACCTGAGGTTCTGCTCATTTAAATATTTTTCTTCATTGATCCCTCTCAAAAAACATCCAGAGTTGGGGCTGAAATGCAGCAGCCATCCATTTCCAGCTTATGCTGTTATACTTTGCAGATCTGCCATTAAACCAGACCCATTGCTTTGTCTTCCTTCATTAACCAGCCCTAGAGAATTCCCCATAAAGCAGAAGGTGTGAACAGATATCCTCTTCTGCGGGAGAGGAAGCAAAGCAGCAGAAGAAACTCTAGGGAAGTCTGTCCCATCCATAAGTGCAATTTACTTCTATCTTCCAGAATAACTCAGGCCCAGTCTCATATATTCCATTTATCCAGAATAACTCAGGCCCAGTCTCATATATTCCATTTATACTTTATAATAAAATGCTGCCGTGTGAGCCAATTTTATGCTTCAGTGTATCAAATAACATCAAGGTCACCATGAACAGCTTAGGTCTTATAGTCACTTGTTATCTCCTGCCTAGATATTCAGTCTCTACCGGGGTCAGTGGATGCTTTTCAAATCGAAAATGGTAGTCCCAGAAGAAGGACTCATTACAAACCCTAGGTGTCAAGCAACTTTTGGGTCTTGCTAGAGCTTCCATACGGCATCACTCTTTGCTATAGATGTTTCCAATACCAATGAGTCTACAGCATTTAAAAGCGCTATAACATTTTGCACTACAGACTGGACTTGTTAGAGCCTTACTTTGCTCTGAGCCTCATTAAAAACTGCCATCATTATGAGTTTCTCAATAAATAGGTCAGAGGAGCATGTGAAATCTGACGTATGTTGGCCTGAAAAACACAAAAAGGCTCACTAAGTGTGGTGCATATTTCTTTGTGGTGGACGAGGTAAGGTACAGCAACCTGCTTATGACTTCAGTGGCATAATGCTCATAAGCATAGGGCCATTTGACCTGAGAAACTTCATCAGGATAACTGGCATCTGAAATTTCACACCATTTGTCTTCTATCTTCCTACATAGATGTAAGAAGATACTTATTAAGGTATGTGGTGTGTTTCATATTTCTTGCTGACCATAAGAATTAGTATATTATCATCAGGGTAACAGACCATGATGACATTTGATAGGTTGTAACGATGGCCCCTCCAGACCACAATGACAAAGACCAAGAGAGCTGACATAGGCCTAAGTCTCAAGGGAGAGGGAAGAAAGTGGTTACTGGAACCCGAAAGGAGAAAGTCATGTGAAGAAGGTTTCCTTGACAGGATCCCTTGAGCTTCAGCTGAGGAATAAAAATCAGTCCCACAAGAGAGCAGTGAGAAAAAAAAAATAACCCAACATAATTTTCCTTCCTCCTTCTGATGTCCTGCTGGGACTCCCCATTAGCCAAATGCCAACTGGGAGACAGAGGGAAAAGAAACTGTTGGTGTGTCCATTCCAGACTCCCAGACATGGGAGCAGGGTTAAAGAGAGTGGATGTGGACAAAGTGAAGGTATCTGAGAGAGTGCAGAGAAGCCATGTTTGCCCTAGTGAGATGATTAACATTAGTAATAGATATTTGGTGGAGGTCAGGGGAGAATAAACCAAGTGAAACGTCCAGGTTTTTGTTTGATTACAGATGTTTTATTACTTTGATAAACCTATTTTTCAAATCGTGATGTGAACTAGATTGTAAACTCTTTAGGCACTATGACTTTTAACTCTTTGTCCCTAGATTCCAGTATTATAATTTGGAAATAATAGATACTTATTTTTATAATAAACAATGTAACACATGTATTTTAAAAGTTCAAATCACACATTTTTTCAAGAGCATACAGAAAAATATATATTTACCAAAATTGACAATTTGCTGAACGATAAAGCAAGTGTCAACAAATTTTAATGAACTGAGCCCATACAGAATATGTCCTCTGGCCACAGTGGAAATGAGTTAGATATTAGTAATAACAACACAACTGGAAAATCCCTACATGATTGGAAATGAAGCAGTCTGCTTCTACATCACCCTTGAGTCGAGGAAGAAATCACAGTGGAAATTAGAAACTACTTTGAACTGAATGATAATGGAAATAATTTCCATACTTAGAGGAAAATTTATAGCCTTAAATGCATCTGTTAGGGGAGAAAAAAAATCCCAAAAGCCAATGACCTGCATATCTTTCTGAAAAGACTAACTATAGAACATAGTTAGATCTATGAAATTATAATTTTTGAAAAAATTACTTAGAAATTTATGAAATAACAAGCATACAATAAAGATTTAGGGGAAAAAAAGCCAAAAGTTGATCTATTAAAAAGCCTAATCGAATTGAAAAAAACAAATTCTTCCAGATGTCAATCAAGAAGAAAAGGAAAGAAAACTCAAAATGACCAACATCAGGAATGAAAAAAGAGACTTAAGAGACTTAGACGAACAATCAATAGGATACTTCTTAAAATATAATAAAAGAGAGCAAGAATGGATGAGCAGGGTGCTAAGGATGGTCACTCCCATAATAAGATCATAATCCCTTGCCAAGTTTTCAGATTTGAGGCAGTTTTCAGATCTAGAACCCATTAACAAAGGGAGTTGGCCAGGGCCCCAAAGAAGTGACCCTCGATGTGAAATGATCCACGTCAGGCACACACTGTAGAAACTCCTCTAGTCCTGCCCCAAAGGGACCTATATCATTTACTGTAGCTACAGTGCACTGGAGGAAAGGAAATGTCTGGGTAGGCATTCAAGGACTATTGCACACACAGTCTGAATTGACACTGATACCTGTAGAGCTGAACTGCCGTCATGGCTCCCCTCCTCAAATGAAGGTTAGTGGGTGTCAGATAATAAGTGGAGTCCTAGAAAAATGCAACTTTTTTATTCCACTGGGTCAACAGACCCACCCAGTGGTTATTTCCTCTGAATGTATAATTTGGATTGACAATTGGAGTAACCCCCACATTGAGTCCCTGACCTCTATAGTAAGATATAGTACAGTGGAGAGGGAGAAGTGCAAACCTCAGAAACTGCCTGCATCAGCTAAAAACATCAATGAAAGCCAGTACCATATCCTAGGTGGGGTGGCAGAGATTAGTGATGCTCTTAGAGAGCCAGAGGATGCCCCTAGCATAACTGTATTTAATTTGCCACTCTGGCAGAAACCAGATGCATCCTGGGGAATGGCTGTATAGACTCTCACAACCTCAGCCAAATATTGTTAAGCCTGAATTACAGTTGCAGGACATGGGACCTTTGCTAGAGTAGATTTATGCAGCTTCAGACACATGTTATGTGGTCATTGACTCTGAAAATGTGTTCTGTCCTAACACAATCAGGAAAGAGGATCAGAAACAGTTCAGATTCACATGGAGCAGCAATAATATTTACTTACAGTTTTGCTTTAGGGCTATATTAACTTTTCTACCCTCTGTCATAATATAGTCTGAAAAGATCTGGACTATATAGAAATCCCACAGAATACCATATTAAGCCATTACATCAAAGACATGTTGCTGCTCAGGCAGGGTGAGAGAGAGGTCGTCAGCAGACTAGAGGCTTTGTGCTCCAGAGCATGGAAGAAAAAGCCTACAAAGACACAGGAATCTGCCACTTCAGTACATTTATTGTGGTCCAGTGGTCAGGGGCATGCTGTGATGTCCTGTCCAAAATAAAGGACAAATTTCTGTATCTTGTCTGTCCTATTACAAAGAAGGAAGCACAATTTCTGCTAGGCTTCTTCAAGTTCTGTAGTTAACACATTTTACACCTAGAAACATTGCTCTGGCCCTGATATTAGCTGACATGGAAGGATATCCACTTTGAGTGGAACACATGAGATCCAACAGACCTTATGATATTGGACCTGTCAGGAGTAGAAAGAAATAAAGTATGGAGTTTGTGGTTAGCAAGCTCCAGGAGAAAATTCTGAAGCCTCTAGAGTTCTGGAACAAGGTTATACTATCTTCAGTGGACCATTACTGAAAAACGGCTCCTATTGTATTATTGAGCCCTTGTAGAGACAGACACTTGGCCGTGGGACATCAAGTGACCATTCATCCAAAATCAGGACTGCCATACCAACTCATAAAATTATGTGGGTCCCTTCGCAATCCATCATAAGAGGAAAATGGTATATCTTGGACCAATCTTGAGAAGGGTCAGAAAGCACAAGCAGACTGCAGAAACAGGTAGCCCAGACCCTCA
Organism: Homo sapiens; assembly: GCF_000001405.40. NCBI lineage: Eukaryota > Metazoa > Chordata > Mammalia > Primates > Hominidae > Homo > Homo sapiens. The sequence continues at coordinate 34,673,480 of NC_000022.11, forward strand.
TGTCACCTACTCTGGCTGAACTAGGACCCCTCCTCCCTTAGTCACACATGTGGTCATAGGAAGGACTCTTGTATGTCCAGCTGAAGAAATAAGAAAAAGCATGAATCTGCTTTCTAAATGGGCCAACTTAGTGTGTACAAGCCACAAACAGACAAAAGCTTCATTGCAGACTTACTCAGGGGCTGGCCTTGAAAAGCAATGGCAAAGGAATACCTTTGAAATGGGTGGGGCTTTAGGTGATGTGCCTGTCATTGACTTGCATGGAAGGAGAATTGGTCTGAGTACAGTGGGCAGAGGTTGGTCAGGGGTCTGGAAGAGAAACAATTGAAAATAAAAGACTAAAGGGTCTGAGTTAGAAGAATGTGGTTAGACACATGAGAGTAGGTATACAGTATGCCTACTAGAAAGGATTCACCATGGAAGAGGTACGAAACAACTAAGCAGACAAAATGACTCAGCCAGTTGATGTCAGCCAATCTTTTTTTTGTTTTGTTGTTTGAGGCAGAGTTTCACTCTGTCAACAGGCTGGAGTGCAGTGGCATGATCTGGGCTCACTGCAACCTCCACCTCCCGGGTTCAAGTGAATCTCCTGCTTCAGCCTCCCAAGTAGCTGGGACTACAGGTGTGTGCCACCATGGCCAGCTAATTTTTGTAGTTTTAGTAGAGATGGGGTTTCACCATGTTGGGCCAGGATGGTCTCGATCTCTTGACCTCGTGATTCACCTGTCTCGGCCTCCCAAAGTGCTAGGGTTAGAGGCGTGAGCCAATCTTTATCAGTGCCTATCCCCCAGGCTGGCATAAAGGACATCTGAACGAGTGATCATAGTGGCAAAGTCAGAGGCAATAAGTGGGTTCAACCATGTGGGCTCTCATTTGCCAAAGCTGATCTAGCTACTATTGCCTCTGAACATCAAACCTGCCAGAAAAAGACCAATGCTGAGCTCCTGGTATGGCACCATTTTTTTAGAAGAACAGCAGGTCATTTGGTGGCAAGTTCACTAAATTGTTCGCCATTCATCCTGGAGGTGCCAATGGTTTATTCCCACAGAAATAGACACATATTCCAGGTAAAGACTTGCCTGTCCAGCATACAGGGCCCTAGCCAACTTCATTATCTGGGAGATTATGAAATGCCTGACCCACATCGTTGACTCCTACACAAAATAGTAACTGTTGTGCAAGGGTGTGGAAATTGCTCATTGTTATGGGATTCACTGTTCTTATCGCATGCTGTATCACCAAGAAGCTGCCAGCTAAGTAGAGCTGATGCTCTGTCTATCTCTTTAATGGTATGATAGTCTCAACTGAAGTGCTATTTTGGATCACCTGTAGCATCATTTTGGAGGCAATATCCTATGTGGATGAAGTGTCATCAAACAGGACATACAAATTGAATCAGAGACCTCTATATAGTGCTGTGTCCCCAGTAGGAAAAATGCAGGGGACCTAAGAACCAAGGGATGTAAGCAGGAACCGTCCCATTTATCATCACTTGCAATAATCCAATAGGGGATTTTTTTTTTCTGTTCATCCATGAAATGGTGGAGTCTTCAGGATTAGCGGTCCTGGTTCCCAAAGGGTACACTGTCTTCCAAAGGGTCCTATTGAACTATAACCTGTGGTTGTAGTTCCTGAGTACTTTGAAATCCTTATGTCCAGGAACTAGCAAGTGAGAGAAAATATCTTATCGGGGTCAATTAATGTTGATCAGCAAGAGGACATAAGGTTACCGTTAACAAATGGGGCCAGGAAGAAACATGTATGGAACTCAGGTGACCCACTTTGTTGCGTCTTGTGGCTCAATTGTGTTATCCCAGATTGTGACTCCAAGAGAGAAGTGTGTCACCCCAGCCTGAAAAGGATATGGTCTCAGACACTTCAGTGATGAAGGCTTGGGTCATATTACTAGTAGAAGCAGCAGCTGGGGGTGAGGGGAATTTAGAAAGTATAGTAGAGGAGACAATGGACACCAGCTGCAGTCCTGCGAGCTGTCGTAGTGATGCAGTTGTAGTTCATTCCACAAACCTGTCATTCCACCGGATCCCTGGAGGAGCTGCTCCTGGAACATACATGGAGGATCCATGCCTGGCAAGGAGTGGACTGTGGCAGACACCAAGATGTGCTACTTTACCCACCTTCAAAAAAAAAAAAAAAAAAAAAAAGATTCACTGCATAGTTACATTAGGAGAACGATTGCCTGGAAGCCTCAATCTTTTAACTTTTTAGGGATCACCTCAAATTTTAAGCTGAGGTCACACCTGTTTCAGATAGCCTCAATTCATTGACTAAGCAAAGTGATAGTTAATGTCCTAGAGATTCTTACATATAATGTGAAACTTCTCTAACAGGCCATCTTTGCTCCAGAGTGCCCACCTCCGCTGTCCAATCCTGCTTTTCTCCTTTTTTCAAAGCTGTTACTCCAAAATAAACTTTTTCAAGCGAACTCCGTTCTCTCTGTTTTAAATGCGTGCTACAAAATAGTATGGTATTATTTTCAAAAAATTATGAATGATAGAAAAATAAATATGTACTTAAAATATACTAATTTTGGAATAGCGAAGTTACAAATGAGTTTTGTTACATTCTTATACTTATTCTATGTTCTCCAAGTTCTATGCATTGAACAAATTTGCAAGTTTGGAGTAAATATATTATTCCTTAACTAAAATAATATCTAAATAATATAGAGACATTGAAAGTAACTGTCCCCTGCCATACCTTTTGCTAGCATACACATATCCATATTATTTATTCAACAAATATTTATTTAATGTCTACTATACGCCAGGCATTCAGCTGGGTGATAGGGATAGAGGGCTGAATAGAGTCCCTACCCTTGTGGACTTTGCTTTATTGTAGAAACTGCCTCAAATGTCTTTAATATTTTTGTCTTGTTATTAAACCACATAACCACAAGCTCTTTCTTAATGTATCAAATTTTATGCCTAATTTATGGATCTATCTCTATACTATCTATCTATATATCATTATCTTTAGTTGTTCTATTGGTAGAGTTACTATCTAATTTGTCATCCAACCAGGACATTTTTGAGAGGAAAGAGGGTGCTGTTAATATATATGCCAAGATAACAGACAAGAATAGATACCATGCCAGGCAAATTTCTCATTGGTAACTTTTAAACTCTGAATGAAATACTAATATATTTATTTTTGTATCACATCAAGTATTCCCTACCCTTTCTTTAATCATCTGTTCTCCTCCCTTAACTGTCAATGATTATTTTTATTTTTACTTTTAAATTGTCAAAGTAAATGATACTTAATTTTTAAAGTCATATTTATATCTTTGATGTTTTGCCTGAAGGTTAATTCTCAAATATGAAAATCAATAACTGGTTTTATTATTTCTAGAACTTTGTAAATAGTTTTCACTATGAAGATAGTAATCGTTGTGATTACATTTTTAATGGAGTTTTGCTTTTTTATTCTGTAATTTCTAATTGCCTGTCTTTTTAAATTATTGCATATTTGGAACAAGTTTTCAATTCTTGATTTTGTTTAACTTCTCCTTCCAATTAAGTGTTCTTTAAAGTCTTCCACCCTGCTTTATTAGTTGTCACTTCTTCCTTCCTTAAGTCCTTCATCTGCTAATGAACCTACTGCTATTTTTTTATAGTTGTGAGATGAAAAACAGAGAGTGCCATTGATACATATGCCAAGATAATACACAAGAATAGATACCATGCCAAGTAAATTTGTCATTGGTTACTTTTAACTCAGAATGAAATGCTAACATCTCTTTTTTATTGCATCAGATATTACCTACCGTTTCTTGAATCATCCTTTCTCCTCCCCTTAACTGTCAACAATTATTATCTTTATTTTTACTCTTATATTGCAAAAGCAAATGATACTTAATTTTTCCTTTTTTTTCTTTTTTTATTATACTTTAAGTTTTAGGGTACATGTGCACATTGTGCAGGTTAGTTACATATGTATACATGTGCCATGCTGGTGCGCTGCACCCACTAACTCGTCATCTAGCATTAGGTATATCTCCCGATGCTATCCCTCCCCCCTCCCCCCACCCCACAACAGTCCCCAGAGTGTGATATTCCCCTTCCTGTGTCCATGTGATCTCATTGTTCAATTCCTACCTATGAGTGAGAATATGCGGTGTTTCGTTTTTTGTTTTGCGATAGTTTACTGAGAATGATGATTTCCAATTTCATCCATGTCCCTACAAAGGACATGAACTCATCATTTTTTATGGCTGCATAGTATTCCATGGTGTATATGTGCCACATTTTCTTAATCCAGACTATCATTGTTGGACATTTGGGTTGGTTCCAAGTCTTTGCTATTGTGAATAATGCCGCAATAAACATACGTGTGCATGTGTCTTTATAGCAGCATGATTTATAGTCCTTTGGGTATATACCCAGTAATGGGATGGCTGAGTCAAATGGTATTTCCAGTTCTAGATCCCTGAGGAATCGCCACACTGACTTCCACAATGGTTGAACTAGTTTACAGTCCCACCAACAGTGTGAAAGTGTTCCTATTTCTCCACATCCTCTCCAGCACCTGTTGTTTCCTGACTTTTTAATGATTGCCATTCTAACTGGTGTGAGATGGTATCTCATTGTGGTTTTGATTTGCATTTCTCTGATGGCCAGTGATGATGAGCATTTTTTCATGTGTTTTTTGGCTGCATAAATGTCTTCTTTTGAGAAGTGTCTGTTCATGTCCTTCGCCCACTTTTTGATGGGGTTGTTTGTTTTTTTCTTGTAAATTTGTTTGAGTTCATTGTAGATTCTGGATATTAGCCCTTTGTCAGATGAGTAGGTTGTGAAAATTTTCTCCCATTTTGTAGGTTGCCTGTTCACTCTGATGGTAGTTTCTTTTGCTGTGCAGAAGCTCTTTAGTTTAATTAGATCCCATTTGTCAATTTTGGCTTTTGTTGCCATTGCTTTTGGTGTTCTAGACATGAAGTCCTTGCCCATGCCTATGTCCTGAATGGTAATGCCTAGGTTTTCTTCTAGGGTTTTTATGGTTTTAGGTCTAACGTTTAAGTCTTTAATCCATCTTGAATTGATTTTTGTATAAGGTGTAAGGAAGGGATCCAGTTTCAGCTTTCTACATATGGCTAGCCAGTTTTCCCAGCACCATTTATTAAATAGGGAATCCTTTCCCCATTGCTTGTTTTTCTCAGGTTTGTCAAAGATCAGATAGTTGTATATATGCGGCATTATTTCTGAGGGCTCTGTTCTGTTCCATTGATCTATATCTCTGTTTTGGTACCAGCACCATGCTGTTTTGGTTACTGTAGCCTTGTAATGTAGTTTGAAGTCAGGTAGCGTGATGCTTCCAGCTTTGTTCCTTTGGCTTCCGATTGACTTGGCAATGTGGGCTCTTTTTTGGTTCCATATGAACTTTAAAGTAGTTTTTTCCAATTCTGTGAAGAAAGTCATTGGTAGCTTGATGGGGATGGCATTGAATCTGTAAATTACCTTGGGCAGTGTGGCCATTTTCACGATATTGATTCTTCCTACCCATGAGCATGGAATGTTCTTCCATTTGTTTGTATCCTCTTTTATTTCCTTGAGCAGTGGTTTGTAGTTCTCCTTGAAGAGGTCCTTCACATCCCTTGTAAGTTGGATCCCTAGGTATTTTATTCTCTTTGAAGCAATTGTGAATGGGAGTTCACTCATGATTTGGCTGTTTGTCTGTTGTTGGTGTATAAGAATGCTTGTGATTTTTGTACATTGATTTTGTATCCTGAGACTTTGCTGAAGTTGCTTATCAGCCTAAGGAGATTTTGGGCTGAGACAGTGGGGTTTTCTAGATATACAATCATGTCGTCTGCCAACGGGGACAATTTGACTTCCTCTTTTCCTAATTGAATACCCTTTATTTCCTTCTCCTGCCTAATTGCCCTGGCCAGAACTTCCAACACTATGTTGAATAGGAGTGGTGAGAGAGGGCATCCCTGTCTTGTGCCAGTTTTCAAAGGGAATGCTTCCAGTTTTTGCCCATTCAGTATGATATCAGCTGTGGGTTTGTCATAGATAGCTCTTATTATTTTGAAATACGTCCCATCAATACCTAATTTATTGAGAGTTTTTAGCATGAAGGGTTGTTGAATTTTGTGAAAGGCTTTTTCTGCATCTATTGAGATAATCATGTGGTTTTTGTCTTTGGCTCTGTTTATATGCTGGATTACATTTATTGATTTGCGTATATTGAACCAGCCTTGCATCCCAGGGATGAAGCCCACTTGATCATGGTGGATAAGCTTTTTGATGTGCTGCTGGATTCGGTTTGCCAGTATTTTATTGAGGATTTTTACATCAATTTTCATCAAGGATATTGGTCTACAATTCTCTTTTTTTGTTGTGTCTCTGCCCGGCTTTGGTATCAGAATGATGCTGGCCTCATAAAATGAGTTAGGGAGGATTCCCTCTTTTTCTGTTGATTGGAATAGTTTCAGAAGGAATGGTACCAGTTCCTCCTTGTACCTCTGGTAGAATTCGGGTGTGAATCCATCTGGTCCTGGACTCTTTTTGGTTGGTAAGCTATTGATTATTGCCACAATTTCAGCTCCTGTTATTGGTCTATTCAGAGATTCAACTTCTTCCTGGTTTAGTCTTGGGAGAGTGTATGTGTCCAGGAATTTATCCATTTCTTCTAGATTTTCTAGTTTATTTGCATAGAGGAGTTTGTAGTATTCTCTGATGGTAGTTTGTATTTCTGTGGGATCAGTGGTGACATCCCCTTTATCATTTTTTATTGCGTCTATTTGATTCTTCTCTCTCTTTTTCTTTATTAGTCTTGCTAGCAGTCTATCAATTTTGTTGATCCTTTCAAAAAACCAGCTCCTGGATTCATTAATTTTTTGAAGGGTTTTTCGTGTCTCTATTTCCTTCAGTTCTGCTCTGATTTTAGTTATTTCTTGCCTTCTGCTAGATTTTGAATGTGTTTGCTGTTGCTTTTCTAGTTCTTTTAATTGTGATGTTAGGGCGTCAATTTTGGATCTTTCCTGCTTTCTCTTGTGGGCATTTAGTGCTATAAATTTCCCTCTACACACTGCTTTGAATGCGTCCCAGAGATTCTGTTATGTTGTGTCTTTGTTCTCGTTGGTTTCAAAGAACATCTTTATTTCAGCCTTCATTTCGTTATGTACCCAGTAGTCATTCAGGAGCAGGTTGTTCAGTTTCCATGTAGTTGAGCCGTTTTGAGTGAGATTCTTAATCCTGAGTTCTAGTTTGATTGCACTGTGGTCTGAGAGATAGTTTGTTATAATTTCTGTACTTTTACATTTGCTGAGGAGAGCTTTACTTCCCAGTATGTGGTCAATTTTGGAATAGGTGTGGTGTGTGCTGAAAAAAATGTATATTCTGTTGATTTGGGGTGGAGAGTTCTGTAGATGTCTATTAGGTCCGCTTGGTGCAGAGCTGAGTTCAATTCCTGGGTATCCTTGTTGACTTTCTGTCTCGTTGATCTGTCTAATGTTGACAGTGGGGTGTTAAAGTCTCCCATTATTAATGTGTGGGAGTCTAAGTCTCTTTGTAGGTCACTCAGGACTTGCTTTATGAATCTTGGTGCTCCTGTATTGGGTGCATGTGTATTTAGGATAGTTAGCTCTTCTTGTTGAATTGATCCCTTTACCATTATGTAATGGCCTTCTTTGTCTCTTTTGATCTTTGTTGGTTTAAAGTCTGTTTTATCAGAGACTAGGATTGCAACCCCTGCCTTTTTTTGTTTTCCATTGGCTTGGTAGATCTTCCTCCATCCTTTTATTCTGAGCCTATGTGTGTCTCTGCACATGAGATGGGTTTCCTGAATACAGCACACTGATGGGTCTTGACTCTTTATCCAATTTGCCAGTCTGTGTCTTTTAATTGGAGCATTTAGTCCATTTACATTTAAAGTTAATATTGTTATGTGTGAATTTGATCCTGTCATTATGATGTTAGCTGGTTATTTTGCTCGTTAGTTGATGCAGTTTCTTCCTAGTCTCGATGGTCTTTACATTTTGGCATGATTTTGCAGCGGTTGGTACCAGTTGTTCCTTTCCATGTTTAGCGCTTCCTTCAGGAGCTCTTGTAAGGCAGGCCTGGTGGTGACAAAATCTCTCAGCATTTGCTTGTCTGTAAAGTATTTTATTTCTCCTTCACTTATGAAGCTTAGTTTGGCTGGATATGAAATTCTGGGTTGAAAATTATTTTCTTTAAGAATGTTGAATATTGGCCCCCACTCTCTTCTGGCTTGTAGGGTTTCTGCCGAGAGATCCACTGTTAGTCTGATGGGCTTCCCTTTGTGGGTAACCCGACCTTTCTCTCTGGCTGCCCTTAACATTTTTTCCTTCATTTCAACTTTGGTGAATCTGACAATTATGTGTCTTGAAGTTGCTCTTCTTGAGGAGTATCTTTGTGGCGTTCTCTGTATTTCCTCAATCTGAATGTTGGCCTGCCTTGCTAGATTGGGGAAGTTCTGCTGGATAATATCCTGCAGAGTGTTTTCCAACTTGGTTCCATTCTCCCCATCACTTTCAGGTACACCAAGCAGAGGTAGATTTGGTCTTTTCACATAGTCCCATATTTCTTGGAGGCTTTGCTCATTTCTTTTTATTCTTTTTTCTCTAAACTTCCCTTCTCACTTCATTTCATTCATTTCATCTTCCATTGCTGATACCCTTTCTTCCAGTTGATCGCATCGGCTCCTGAGGCTTCTGCATTCTTCACGTAGTTCTCGAGCCTTGGTTTTCAGCTCCATCAGCTCCTTTAAGCACTTCTCTGTATTGGTTATTCTAGTTATACATTCTTCTAAATTTTTTTCAAAGTTTTCAACTTCTTTGCCTTTGGTTTGAATGTCCTCCTGTAGCTCAGAGTAATTTGATCGTCTGAAGCCTTCTTCTCTCAGCTCGTCAAAGTCATTCTCCATCCAGCTTTGTTCTGTTGCTGGTGAGGAACTGTGTTCCTTTGGAGGAGGAGAGGTGCTCTGCTTTTTAGACTTTCCAGTTTTTCTGTTCTGTTTTTTCCCCATCTTTGTGGTTTTATCTACTTTTGGTCTTTGACGATGGTGATGTACAGATGGGTTTTTGGTGTGGATGTCCTTTCTGTTTGTTAGTTTTCCTTCTAACAGAGAGGACCCTCAGCTGCAGGTCTGTTGGAGTACCCTGCCATGTGAGGTGTCAGTGTGCCCCTGCTGGGGGGTGCCTCCCAGTTAGGCTGCTCGGGGGTCGGGGGTCAGGGGTCAGGGACCCACTTGAGGAGGCAGTCTGCCCGTTCTCAGATCTCCAGCTGCATACTGGGAGAACAACTGCTCTCTTCAAAGCTGTCAGACAGGGACATTTAAGTCTGCAGAGGTTACTGCTGTCTTTTTGTTTGTCTGTGCCCTGCCCCCAGAGGTGGAGCCTACAGAGGCAGGCAGGCCTCCTTGAGCTGTGGTGGGCTCCACCCAGTTCGAGCTTCCTGGCTGCTTTGTTTACCTAAGCAAGCCTGGGCAATGGCGGGGGCCCCTCCCCCAGCCTCGCTGCCGCCTTGCAGTTTGATCTCAGACTGCTGTGCTAGCAATCAGCGAGACTCCATGGGGTAGGACCCTCCGAGCCAGGTGCAGGATATAATCTCGTGGTGTGCTGTTTTTTAAGCCCATCGGAAAAGCGCAGTATTCGGGTGGGAGTGACCCGATTTTCCAGGTGCCATCCGTCACCCTTTCTTTGACTCAGAAAGGGAACTCCCTGACCCCTTGCACTTCCCAAGTGAGGCAATGCCTCGCCCTGCTTCGGCTCGCACAAGGTGCGCGCACCCACTGACCTGTGCCCACTGCCTGGGACTCCCTAGTGAGATGAACGCGGTACCTCAGATGTAAATGCAGAAATCACCAGTCTTCTACGTCGCTCACACTGGGAGCTGTAGACTGGAGCTGTTCCTATTCGGCCATCTTGGCTCCTCCCCCTTAATTTTTCTTTGAGTGGGATGTTGAGAAGAATAGATAAGTATATCTCTAATGTTAACTGTCTTGTAAAATTATTTGAAACTATATTTCTTATTATTAACTTCAAGAATAAAACCACAATTACTCCCCTCTATAATGAAAACATAAGCATACTTCCCTCCTCCAAAATACTTTGTCAACTTTCTAGTATTGTTTATAGAATATGGAGTTTAAGTCCTACACTATTATTATTATTTTATTTGTTTCTATTTACCCTTTTGTGAATACTTTTACATTTGAATTTTTTTAAATTAATTAATTAATTTATTTATTGATCATTCTTGGGTGTTTCTCGCAGAGGGGGATTTGGCAAGGTCATAGGACAATAGTGGAGGGAAGGTCAGCAGATAAACAAGTGAACAAAGGTCTCTGGTTTTCCTAGGCAGAGGACTCTGCGGTCTTCCGCAGTGTTTGTGTCCCTGGGTACTTAAGATTAGGGAGTGGTGATGACTCTTAACGAGCATGCTGCCTTCAAGCATCTGTTTAACAAAGCACATCTTGCACCGCCCTTAATCCATTTAACCCTGAGTGGACACAGCACATGTTTCAGAGAGCACAGGGTTGGGGGTAAGGTCACAGATCAACAGGATCCCAAGGCAGAATAATTTTTCTTAGTACAGAACAAAACAAAAAGTCTCCCATGTCTACTTCTTTCTACACAGACACGGCAACCATCCGATTTCTCAATCTTTTCCCCACCTTTCCCCCCTTTCTATTCCACAAAACCGCCATTGTCATCATGGCCCGTTCTTAATGATCTGTTGGGTACACCTCCCAGACGGCATGGTGGCCGGGCAGAGGGGCTCCTCACTTCCCAGTAGGGGCGGCCGGGCAGAGGCGCCCCTCACCTCCCGGACGGGGTGGCTGGCCAGGCCGGGGGGCTGACCCCCCCACCTCCCTCCCGGACCGTGCGGCTGGCCGGGAGGGGGGCTGACCCCCCCACCTCCCTCCCGGACGGGGCTGCTGGCCTGGCGGGGGCTGACCCCCACCTCCCTCCCGGACGGTGTGGCTGCCGGGCGGAGACGCTACTCACTTCTCAGATGAGGTGGCTGCCGGGCGGAGGGACTCCTGACTTCTCATATGGGGCGGTTGCCAGGCAGAGGGTCTCCTCACTTCTCAGACGGGGCGGCTGGGCAGAGACGCTCCTCACCTCCCAGACTGGGTCGCGGCGGGGCAGAGGCGCTCCTCACATCCCAGACGGGGCGTTGGGGCAGAGGCGCTCCCCACATTTCAGACGATGGGTGGCCGGGCAGAGACGCTCCTCACTTCCTAGATGGGATGGCGGCAGGGAAGAGGCGCTTCTCACTTCGTAGATGGGATGGCGGCCGGGCAGAGACGCTCCTCACTTTCCAGACTGGGCAGCCAGGCAGAGGGGCTCCTCACATCCCAGACGATGGGCGGCCAGGCAGAGACGCTCCTCACTTCCCAGACGGGGTGGCGGCCGGGCAGAGACTGCAATCTCGGCTCTTTGGGAGGCCAAGGCAGGCGGCTGGGAGGTGGTTGTAGCGAGCCGAGATCACGCCACTGCACTCCAGCCTGGGCACCATTGAGCACTGAGTGAACGAGGCTCCGTCTGCAATCCCGGCACCTCGGGAGGCCGAGGCTGGCGGATCACTCACGGTTAGGAGCTGGAGACCAGCCCGGCCAACACAGCGAAACCCCGTCTCCACCAAAAAAATATGAAAACCAGTCAGGCGTGGCGATGCACGCCTGCAATCGCAGGCACTCGGCAGGCTGAGGCAGGAGAATCAGGCAGGGGCGTTGCAGTGAGCCGAGATGGCAGCAGTACAGTCCAGCTTCGGCTAGGCATCAGAGGGAGACCGTGGAAAGAGGGAGAGGGAGAGGGAGAGGGAGAGGTGAATTCTTTTTTATAATTACATTTTAAAAAGTCACAGTGTCAACTTGATTTTTGATTGGTTTTAATCTCACAGTACCTTTTCTGGAGTAGGGTTATACCCCACAGTAGCTGCAAATTCTGCAGAGCCCCAATTCTACTGATCAGGATGAAAAGAAAGAAGGCTGCTGCCTCCACAGAAGCCCAGTAACTATGACTCGACTCTTGAATATATCTCCTATCATTTATTGTTTTTCTACATTAGGCAATAAAATTTGTAGTAACACTGAGTTTCTAAGGCTTTTTGATGAAGGGCACAAGCTTTGGAGTTGGATCCTTCTAGATGCAAATCCAGCTCTGATAAAACTAGCCATGTGAACCAATTGAAAAAAATTTCCTCAAACCTCAGTTTCTTTATCTGTAAAATGATGACAGTAGTGCCTGCCTCAGAGGGTTATTGTGAAGACAGAATAGGTACTATATAGAAAGCACCTCTCACAATGTTTGGCATATAATAAATCTTTAATAAGTGCTGACTCTTGTTATTGTAAACTGTAGTTGGAAAGCATCTCCTTTGTGAACAGATGTGTTATGTTACTGTGCAAGATACCACCCCCTTCTATGCATTGGATCAAGATCCTGTCAAGAAGTTCTGCAAGATGCAGATATAATGAAGAGAATGCAAGACCCAGAATGGCAGATGCCTTGTCTGCCTGATTCACTGATATCTCCTGAGCATCCAGAACAGTATCTGACATATGGCAAATACAAAGCAAATGTCTCTGGAGTAAATAAAAAGACAATGAACTTCTCAATTAGATACAACTCTGCTTGAATCCTGGCTCAACCATTTTCTAGCTGTGTAACTTCAGGCAAGTCACATAACTTCTCTGGTGTCTTAGATTTCTTAGCTATAAAGTGAGAAATTACAACACTTTCTAGCTCACAGAATTAGTCACATACCATAACACATGTTAAAATTCTTCACAAACTCTATCAAGATTCAAATGTCAATGTGACTGCTGTTGTGGCCACATAAAAAAACTAAAACATCCTTCTAAAAAAGTGGTTCTTCTCCCTGCTTTTGGCCTACCTTTCTCTCCTCATGAGCCTTTAGGACCAGAAGTACTGTTTGGGAACACTCGAAGTCCCATTCTGACGTCCTCTCCCCTACCTTCTCATCTAAGCCAAGCTGTCATCTCCGGCTTCACCTTTTCCTTGCCTCTGGAAACCTGGGCTTGGGGTCTGACATGCTGTGCCTGATGTTTAAATTTTATATGACTCTGTTTTTTTTGTTTTGTTTTGTTTTGTTTTGTTTTGTTTTGTTTGAGATGGAGTCTAGCTCTGTTGCCCAGGCTGGAATGCAGTGGCATGATCTCGGCTCACTGTAACCTCCGCCTCCTGGGTTTAAGTGATTCTTGTGCCTCAGCCTTCTGAGTAGCTGGGATTACAGGCACCCACCACCATGCCCAGCTATTTTTTGTATTTTTAGTAGAGACGGGGTTTTGCCATGTTGGTCAGGCTGGTCTTGAACTCCTGACCTGAGGTGATCCGCCTGCCTCAGCCTCCCAAAATACTGGGATTACAGGTGTGAGCCACCGTGCCCAGCCTGACTCTGGTTTTATATGACTCTCTGGTTCTCAGTACCCTTGACTGTCATTTAGGAATTCTTCACTCACTCTGATTCCTGCCCTGTGGCACCTAGCACCCATTCTTGACCCCCTAAGTCTCTACAGACTCCACTCTTCCCATACACGCATGGATAGGGTGGATCAAAAGAGTGATTTCCATTAAGCTACATTCCTAAAATCCAGACTTATGTGGAGATGAAAATTCCCTATTTGTATCAAAAAGGATTTTGGGCAAAGGAAAAACAGTGAGGACCCCTGTGATTTTTATTTCACTGGGCAATTACCAAATACAGCAGACAACAAAATAAGACATAGGCAAGTGCTTGGTAGAGTATGCTGGAGGGAAAACAGTAACTCTTTGTGCATGTTGTAATGGGATGAATTAGTGACAGACTCCCAAGGGGGAGTTCAGAGTCATCCTGGAAAGTTCAGCAAAGACATCTGCTAAGTTGAAGACATCTGCTCAATAAAGTCACCACAGTGGGAGTGCAAAAGAGAAGAAAGCGTTGGAATGAATTTAAATAAAAAGCAGCTGAGAAAAATTAGTACAGTGTTGAGCATCTTATTAAATGCTGCTAGGTGGCACATGTATACATATGCAACACATCTGCACGTTGTGCACATGTACCCTAAAACTTAAGGTATGTTAAAAAAATAAAGTAAATAAATAAATGCTGCTAGGGCCCCTAATTCTATAGGCTCCGTGTAGATGTTGCATATGCTTTACTTGGCTCAAAGCCACAACTTAAAAGCAAAGGCCCAGTAGAAATCAATCTATCCATAAACATCTGTGTGTCTTCAGTGTGTACCCAGCTCTGTGTTAGGTCCTTTGACAGTTATGTGGTAATCATTTCTGTCTGAGAATTGAAATTATTTGCGAAGTATTAGAAATAAAATGCAGCAGTGATAGCAAAGAACTAGGCCCATAGCAAGCATGTGACGAATATTGCCAGAGTAATTAGTAATATCGATATTTAACAAATATTTCTTGAGCATCTATCATGTGCCAGGCCTGTTCTAGACACCGAAGACACAGAAATGAACAAGACATCCACGTACCCATCCTTATGGAGTTTATATTTAAAGAGGCTGAGATAGAGAAGACAGAAAGTGCTAATGCAGGATGAGAGGATGGAGAGTAGGTATATAGCTAAAGGTGGCCTCTGCAACCACTTTGCAGTGGCGTCATTTGAGCAGGAAACTGCATGAAGTGATAGAGCCATGTAACAGTCTGAAGAAGTGTCCCTGGGAGAGGGGACACAGAATAAGGCAGCAGAAGCTTGGGTGCATGGCCACAGCATGGAGCAAGTGTGGCTACCACAGAGTGTGCTGGAGGGGAATGCTGGGTGCTGAGACCGGACAGGAAGCCAGGGCCTGACTTGTAGAGCTCTTACTAACTCATGGTAAGAAATTTGGGAATTTGGAAAAAGGAACACAGGTGAGCATGTTCACATGTAACTGGATTTTAGCCAACAGTTTCTCTGTGATCTCAGTATTTGACTAAAGGCCCAATGTCAAAAACAACAGGATCAAAGTATGCCAACCTTCTAGAAACTGCCAAATTTCCTTTTACAGATTTTGCTAAAAGATAGAAAACCTGATCCTTCAGTCTTTACCTTTGTCATCCCAACCAGACCATGGAAGAGAAAACTAAACATTTGGGAAAACTGTTGGCCTCATGCAGCATATGTCTGCATTTTCTCTACCCTCATCATTAAAAGAGATTACTCCTACTTAGAGGAAAGTGAGAGGATTTCTGAGAGAACTCCACTGAGATGTTGGATGTGAGTCCAGGAAGGGAACTGACATCTTTCTCTCCAGTTGGGACACTTAGCTGATCTGAAGGCATTAGAACTGTCATCCCAAAGCTGCCATGAGGGTAGAGATAGCAGGAGGGCCCTGGAGGACTCTGGAGACTCCTGGGGTATATATACACAGAGAGTAACCAATTCTCACCTAAGATTTCTGAAAGTGAATTGGTGACTTGATCCATACTGAAAAAAATGGAAAGAAGGAACTAAGAATGTAAATGGACTCAAAAGATGAGCCATCTACAAATGTGGGCACTCTCACTAACCCATCCCAGGGCTGGCCAATTGTCACATACACTTGTAAACCGCCCCCATCTAGTGACAGGATGGCAGAAGGCTGAGACAACTTATGTAAGAGTGAGACCATGGGGGAGAATATTGCTCCCTCCCTAGGGTGGAAGTAAATAGGACTTGTTTAAAATTTTCTTATGGAATAGCTAACCAGGGTCACTCACCACTCTTACATTTATGAGGCTTATAAAAATATTTTATGACTCAACCTTCAAGGTGGCAATTGTACATCAGAGTTGTCATGTACCCCAGAACAACAACAAAAAATAACAAAATCAGGTGACTGACACTATTCAATTTCAAAACGTATTGTAAACCTACAGTAACTAAAACAGTGTAGTATTGGAGAAATAATAGACAAATAGATCACTAAAACAGAAGAGAGAGCCCAGAAATAGACCCATACAAATATACTCAGCTGATCTTAGACAGAAGAGGAAAATACATTCAATGGAGAAAGAATAATCTCAAGAAATGGTGCTGAAACAACTGGAAATTCACTGTCAAAAAACGAATCTAGACATAGACTTTACTCATTCTCCAAAAATGGATAAAAATGTAAAATGACCTAAATGTAAAATATAAAAATCATAAAAGATTATGTAGGAGAAGATCTAGATGGCTTTGGATTTGACAATGGCTTTCTAGATATAACGTAAAAAGTAAGATCTGTGACAGAAAAAAATCAAGTTGCACTTCGTAAAAGTTAAAAACTTCTGCTTATGAAGGACATTGTTAAGCGATTGCAAAGGCGACTCACAGACAGAAAATATTTACAAAATGTACATCACATAAAGGACTTGTAACGAACATATACAAAGAACTCTTAAAACTCATCAATAAGAAAAGAAAAGGCCAAATTAAATATGGGCAAAACATTTGAACATATTCCTCATCAAAGAGATAGACAAATGGTGAACAGACACATGAAAAGATGCTCCACATCACATGCTATTAAAGAACTGCAAATTGAAATAATGATGAACTACCACTACACATCCCTTAGAGTGGCTGAAGTCCAAAACACGGACAACACCAAACGCTGACAAGGATGTGGAGCACATGGAACTGTCACTCGTTGGTAGGATTGAAAAATGGTACAACCACATTGAAAGCCATACGGCAGTTTCTTACAAAGTTAAACAATCTTACCATAGAATCCAACAATAATGCTTCTAGATATTTAGCAAATGTATTGAAATCTTATATCCATACAGAAACCTGCAAATAAATATCTATAGCGGCTTTTTATTCATAATTGCCAAAAACTAGAAGCAAGCAAGAATTCTTCAAAAGGTGAATGAATAAATGAGTGGTGGTACCTCCATATAATGGAATATTATTTAGCAATTAAATGAGTCATAAAGGCATGAAAAGCCAGGGAGTAACTTTAAATACATATTGGTAAATTAAAGAAGCCAATCAGAAAAGGCTACATACTGTATTATTCCAACTATATAACATCCTGAAAAAAAAAGCAAAACTATAGAGACAGTAAAAAGATCAGTGTGGTTCCTAGGGTTACAAGAGGAGGAAAAGAGAGTGCAGCACCAGAGAAGTTTAGTGCGGTGAAACTATTCTTTTTTTTTTTTTTTTGAAATGGAGTTTCTCTCTTGTCACCCAGCCTGGAATGCAACAGCATGATCTCAGCTCACTGCATCCTCCACCTTCCAGTCTCAAGCGATTCTCCTGCCTCAGACTCCCGAGTAGCTGAGATTACAGGCGTCTGCCACCACGCCTGGCTAATTTTTTGTATTTTTAATAGAGACAGGGTTTCACCATGTTGGCCAGGCTGGTCTCAAACTCCTGACCTCGTGGTCCACCCTCCTTGGCCTCCCAAAGTGTTGGGATTACAGGTGTGAGCCATGGCACCCGGCCTGAAAGTATTATTTATGGTATGGCAATGGTGGTTACATGACACAATGCATTTGTCAAACCTATACAAGAGTGATCCTTAATGAAGAGTATGGATTTTAGCCAGTAATAACATATTAATATCGGTTAATTAAGTTTAACAAATCTACCTCACTAATGCAAGACATCAACGATAGGGGAAACTGTGTTAATGAATGGGGTGTATATGAGAACTCTCTGTAATGTGTGCTCAATTTTCCTATGAACATAAAAATTTTCTTTAAAAGTTTACTAATTTAAAAATATATATAACAAAGCAAAAAAAAAAGACAAACAAAAATTCCACCCAGAGCCATGCAATGAAACCACAGTGGAAGGACAAGAAGAGGTCATGGAGGATGTTAAAAGATACAAAACTGTGGTCAGAAATTCGCTAATATGTAAGGAGGGACTTCAGGGGACAAATAAGTACGCTGAGACTTCAAAATCCCATCTGGTTGATTGAGAAAAATGGATTAGAGAGGGGTAAGAAAGGAAGAGGAGACATCATAATAGTTTCAAATGAGACAGTAATTTTTTTCTTCTGTTTCCTTTTTTAAAATTTTGTATTCCGTATGTTTAAGATGTACAACATGATGTTTTGAAATATGCATATATGGTGAAATGATTAGTACAGTTAAGCAAATTAATCGATCTACCTGTCACTTTCCACAGTTACCTTGTGTGAGTGTGATCGTGTGTGTGTGTGAGTGTGTATGTGATAAGAGCACCTAAAATCTACTTTCTTAGCACGCTTTCAGTACATTATGCAATATTATTAACTACAGTTCTCATGCTGTGCATTAGGTCTCTGGACTTTCTCATCATACATAACTGCAAGTTTGTACCCTTTAACCTACTTCTCTCCATTTCCCTTTCTCCCCACTCTTGATAATTACCATCCCATTCTTTGTGTCTACTTTTTCATGAGATTCCACATATATGTGAGATCATGCAGTATTCTCCCTTCTGTATCTTATTCCATTTAGTCTAATGTCCTCTAGCTTCATCCATGCTTGTGACAAATGGCAGCGTCTCCTTCTTTTCTAAGGTTGAATAATATTCCATTACATATATGTGTATATCACATTATAAAATTTATTCATCTGTTGATGGATACTTTGGTTGTTTCGATGTTTTGGCTATTGTGAAAAATGTTGCAATGAACATGGGAGGGCAGAGATCTTTACAAGGTGCTGATTTCATTTTCTTTGGGTATATACCCAGCAGAAGGATTTTTGGCTCGTATGGTAGCTCTATTGTTAATTTTTTGAGGAACCTCTATACTATTTTCCATAATGGATGTACCAATTTACTTTCCCACTGACAGTGTACAAGAGTTCCCTTTTCTTCACACCCTCACAACACTTGCTACCTCTTGTCTTTCTGAGAATAGCCATTTTAACAGGTGTGAGGTGCTAGCTTATTGTGGATTTAATTTACACTTTTCTCATGAGTAGTGATGTTGAGCACCTTTTCACATACCTGTTGGCTATTTGTATGTCTTCTTTGGAAAAATGAGACACTGTAATTATTAAGCTAGTGGATAGCAGTGGATGTAGGAGAAAAAAGAAAGAATTTAGACGTGTCTGGGAGGTGGAATTAACAGGACTGGCGATTTCTGATTGAGCAGCAGGGTCAAGAGGCAAAGGTCTAGGATTTTCTCAGATTTTTGGCTGAACAAATAGATGAGTAGGGAGTAGCGCCATTGACTGACATGAAGACCGGGACATATGCTTGTTTGGGAGGAAGATCATGGGTTGTCTCTTGAATCTGTTTAGATCAATGTGCCTCTAAGACTTTTGGAAAGAGATGTTGAAAAGATAGTTAACTATGCAGGTCAGAAGCCCAGCCAGGGGCCTGAGCTGAGACACATAGGTCTGTGGGACTCTAACATACAAGTTTAATTCTTAGGTACATGGGTTCCTAGGTCCTAAACTAGTAATGGCGGCTGATCTTTCTGAGCTCTGAGTATGTTCCAAACACTATGAAGGATAGTTTATCCTAATTGCCTAATTTAATATTCAACTCATATCTGTGAGGTACCTGCTATTAGTACCACCACTTTAAAGATAATAGAACTGAAGTTGAATGACTTCTCCCATCCCATTCACCTGGTAAATGACAAAGACCCAACTCACAATCTAGTCCAAGTTTTCCAGCCTTCACACTTTTAAACCCTATGTTTTCAAGTATCCGTATTTCAAGTGTTCAAGTATTCATCATGTTTTCAAGTGTTGCAACTCAACCATCTTAGATGGGTGTGCATACCTGTCTAACCTGCCCATCCACCCAGAGGTCTCAGCCATTATCAAAATTTTCTTTAAGAGGAAATATCTGATACTGCTTTGTTACTGAATTCTTTGTATGTTTCTTTAATTTCTATATTACTGTAGTAACTCAAAAATGTGATCAGTTAGTTTTCAAGTCTCATTAGTCAAAGTAATATTTGTACTGCAAGCAACCTGAAATGTTGGCAACTGCAATGCAAAGGGGTTTAGAAGAATTAGTAACAAAAATTACTGTCGGAGAGAAAATTAAATAGATTGTTTCACTTGGAAAAAGAAAAACAACCTTCAATTTGCAAAATAACAAGTTTTTTTCTTAAAAAAAAAAAACAAAAAAAAAGATTCCCTGGATGAAATCAGCCTAGCATGGGAAGCCCAAATCAAGAGACGCAGTGGCTGTGGCACCATAGGCTTTCACTTCTCTCTAGATCTCAGTTATTCCATCTCTCAAAGGAGATTAGGAGCATCTGCCCTAATTATCTCATGAACTGTGATGAGATATGGGTAAGATAATATCAGGAAAGCTTTATGAAGTATAAAAAGTGCTAGATTAGTACAAGAGTTCATTTAAATAATGATTATGCCTTATAGAGAGACAAGCCACAGTGATTCACAGACTATGTTTCTGGGCCGGATTGCAGCCAGACTCACAGAGAGTGCAGAAGGAGTTGATCTCAGTGATTACCAGGACAAAGACCCTCAGTTGACAAATGGGGAAAATGGGGCAAGAGAGGATAGGAGACTCACCCATGGTTGGTGACAGAGCTGAGATGAACAGCTACATTTCTCACTCTGGTCTGTTGGTTTCTGCCTCTTTCCCTTAACTAAAAGATCTCTTGGCCATTTCCTGGGTCATTACCATCTCCTGCCAGAAAGGGATCTGACACAATCAAAGGAGAATAACCCAATTACCAGTTTGAGTCTTAGATAAATGGCTATCACTAGGAAGAAAAACATGCTCACCTGAAGCTTACAGAGGATTAGTGGCTCCACATTACCAAGAGGATAGGTCAGATAACAAAAGCACCAATAACAACAGTAGCAGTTCATATTCACTAACTGCTCAACATGTGCCTCCATCTGAGCTGAGCATTTTACCTGCACATGTATCTCATTTTATCTTCATGACAGCCTTGTGAGGTGAGTGCTGTCATTGACTCTATAGATGGGAAAATGAAGCTTAGCAATGTTAAGGAGTTTGCACCAGGCCACCGACTATAGGTGGCAAAAGCAGGGCTTCACTCCAGCCAATGTGACTCTTAGTTTCCAGATTTTAACCACTGGACACATTACATTCCACTAAATCCCACTGTCTGCACCTGCCATTCTAGGCTCCTCACAACCTAATCCATTTAGCTTCCTCTCTTGCCTTAAATCTAGAGACAATCTTGGGTCTAACCTCTCTCCTCACACTATAGGGATAACTCTGAAGAACAGAATATGTAGCCTGTCTACATTCTTGTCGCTGCATTTTGCTTCCACTGTTCCACCTGCCTAGGCTGCCGGTCACCCAGGCTGAGTGCAGTGGGGCAATCTCGGCTCACTGCAACCTCTGCCTCCCAGGTTCAAGTGATTCTCCTGCCTCAGCTTCCTAGTAGCTGAGATTGCAGGCGCCCGACACCATGCCCGGCTAATTTTTGTATTTTTAGTAGAGACGGGGTTTCACCATGTTGGCCAGGCTGGTTTCGAACTCTTGACCTCAGGTGATCCACCCGCCTCAGCCTCTGAAAGTGCTGAGATTACAGGTGTGAACAACCATGCCCAGCCTTAACTCTTCTTTTAAGACACCCCTGAAGTTTCACCTCAAGCAGATCTTCCTAGTCACTCACCAGCTTCTCTTTCTCCTCTGATACCCTCTTACGTTTATCCTCCATACCTTCCAGGTGACCCCTACAGGGATTAGCCTTCTGATCACTCTTATTTTTTTGTTTATTGTGTAGATCTTTAGGAGTATTCATTCTATATTCTCAACCATGTTAGAATATCCCCAAGGGCAATGTTAATGGTTGCTTCCTCTGCAGCGTCTGGCACATAGCTAGGTAGTCAACAATTATGTTTAAAATGAGCAAACAATAAGAATAGAAGAAAGAGAAACTTCCAGCTAAATGGGTGGATAACTTTGCCCATTGACAGCTTTTTTTAACATTGGGAAGAGTATCTTTGAGAGGCCAGCATAGAGGGATCACTGGAGGTGTTCACACAAAGGCTAACCCCAGAATAGCTTAGGTGGGATTCTTGATTTGGGGAAGTTGGTGAAATGAGCCCTAAAGATCCCTTCTAGCTCAAGGAGTTTATGATCCCATAACTGAATGTGTGAGTGAACGAATGAATGAATTTGCCGATGTCAGTCTTTCATGCTTGCACTCTCCCCCACAGCAATTGAGACATGATGTTCTGCATAACTCAGTCTTTTATCTGAAAAACACTGACGTGAAGTAAGTGGAAAGAAGATCTTATTTCCTCTATTTTCCAGATGAGGAAACAGAATTATTGAAGTAAAAATAATTTGCCTGAAGCAGCAGTTGGGCACACACCAGAGCCAGCCTTTGGGATCCTGGGCTGGTTCAGTCTTTGCTTTGAAAGCCCCAGACAGCTCAACATGCGCCCCCCCACCGCCCCCCACATCTGCTTTCCTTCTTTGAGGCAGAGAGAGAAAGCTGGAAGAAATTGTATAGAAACCTCAGCTTCTCCCTGTTCTGTGCCTTCAGCCAAACAACCATTTGGGTTTTACCTCTTGAGAATTTATCAGACTGGTTGTGTCCTCTCCGTAAACATCGCCACTGCCTTAATGTTCTGCTATATAAAAGAAGCTTCTGGAATTAGGCAAACTAGATTCATTTCCCAGCCCCAGTTCCCTGGACATGTTACTTTACTTGTCTCAGTCTCAGAGTGAGACCCATAATCAGAGCCTATCCCATAGGGTTGTGATAAGAACAAAATGAAGTTATGTAGAAACGAGTGAATAGAGGGAGCTTAGAACAATTCCTGGCACACAGGACAGATTCAATATGTGTTAAATATTGTATATTTACTGGAGAGGGAGAAGGGTGCTTTTTTATAACCACATACTTTAGCAAGTTGCATAACCACTCTAGACTCAGTTTCTGTACCTATAAAAAAGAGATAATGGTAATAGTAGCAACTACATCCCAAATATTTTTGTGAGGAATAAACATGCTAATGTATAAGTAGAACACAAAGAAATTGCCTTGCAAATTTCAAATAGTATTGATATTGTTATTTTTCCTGAGTGACAACTATGGGGACATGTCCTCTTGCATGTCTACATGGTATACATTCTACTCTTCAGAGTTATCTCTTCAATCAAATCATCCCATATAGACCACAACATCTATCTTTGTTCAGCACAATTTTTTATTCATGTTTTTATTCCCTCCAAAATCATGCCCATTTTCTTGCAAGAATTTTCCACACTCTAATTTTGCCCTTACCAGACACAATGGTGTTTATCATGTCTGTGAAACACCTCAAACATGTCTGGAGACAAACAACTCAGTGGTAGTCGAACCCAGGATGACTCCCAAGAGGCAGACTGAGGTGCTGACCTTGGTCCTGAAATAAGATTTGGTCATATCTGGGAAAGGCAGAAGTTGGTAAGTAGAGGGCTTCCTAAGTGGCCCTCATGCTGCATATTGTGATGTCTTTGGGGGCTGCTTGCTAAAAGATCCCACCTACTCCATCATTTTACTACTTGTGTCTACCTCAGTCTCTGTAATACGTGCTCACTAAAAGTTGATTAATTTACACTCATAGATTAAAGCTTCTTCATTTAATAGATCTGGACAGAAACTTTCACATAAGAAGGATAAGCAGCACATTCCAGATGATGCATTAAATCTGTTCAGTCCCTTTCCATTCTTCAAGGGTTACTTCAAACACTAACTCTTCCATGAAGTCTTCCTAGATTTACCCCCAAAATGAAATAAATCTATTTTCCCCCGAACTCCCTGAACTCCTTTCATGAAATAAATGGAAGCACTAAAATAAGTCCATATGACCATTATATCATTACTATTAGACTCACTACTATTACTATGACTATTGGACACATTACTATTATCATTACTATTGTCCTGAAAGTAGGGTCCATGTCTGATACTTAGGAAATACTAGAACAAACTTTTTATTTTATATGAATAAAGAGATGAGAAATGGCAAAGTGAGGACCAGAGTCTGGGATTCTATCTTTTTCTAGGACATCACACCTTCTTCCACCAAAACAAATCTTCCCAACCTCCTACCTTTAGGACCCCAGGCTGGGTGGAATTGCTTCCTAAAGATATGCATCTAAGAAAGATATCTGCGCCAATGTGCTCTATAGCTAATGCGTTTCTCTGAACAGGTGATGATAGTGAGCAGTTCTCTGGCAACTGAGGGTGTAGAAAATTTGGGGGATGGAAAGGAAAGAGAGTACTGGCCCTGTAATTCACTGAGCCTTTCCCATGGCTCAGCTTTAAAGGAAGATGAATTGAGATGTCTGTTAAGGACTTCAGAGAATGGGGAGGCATAGCTATAATGGGATAAATTGGCAGGTCCCTGCAAGAAAATATGCCCATCATAATGACTTTGGTGAGCTCTCCGCTAGGAAGATCCTGAATGGAAATACACTAAAGATAAGGAAATGGGCATCCTCCTAGGTGTTCTTTATATAATCCTAGAACAGCTTCTCTCTCTATCCATCAGCCCGCTACTCTCTACATTCCTCCCTCCCCCTTATCCGTCTTTCCCTCCACAGCTCCTTAAAGACAAGATCAAGTCTAGGTCCTTCAGGAACACTTCCTGATTTCAAGCTCGTCCTGAACTTTCCATGGCCCATCCTGCAGCCCTTCAGCTTCCAGTGGGTATCACTTGACCCTCATCTGCAGACACAGTTGTCCCTGCCCAGGTACAGGCCATAGTTAATCCAGTTCCTAGGAAGGAGGAGAGATGCGATTTCAAGAATCTCTAGTTTAATTACAACCTAAAGATGTCCCTGCTCCCTTCCTGCTAACTTTGAGTCCCATCCCAGTTGTAGAAACGAGGCCTCTGCCTGTTTCCTGGGTCCCAGACCTCCCCCTTGTGCCTCTTACCCAAGGCTTGAGCCTTTCCTGGGTAACCTGCCCTGCGCCAGCTTCTCTAAGGCATCTTGCTTTGTAGCCTACCATTGAACTTAAGCCACCATCCCCATCCCTACCATGGCTTGAAACTTGTCAGTAGGCTTCCAAATTACTAAATTACTACATGGGAAGCTCAAAGTCCAGCCAGAATTGACCCCTGCTTACCACCACATCTCACACCCCACCCTTCAATGACCAGCTCCTCTGATCTCCTTTTAGCTCCTGGAGAGCACCTCCCACCACAGGACCTTTGCACATCATGGTCCCTTTGATAGAGCCTTACCAGGAAAACACCTACAAATCTTTTCCAACTCTGAAGCACCAGTTTCTAGGTAATATGGTTTGGCCCTGTGGCCCCACCCAAATCTCATCTCAAATTGTAATCCCCACATGTCAGGAGAGGGGCCTGGTGGGAGGTGATTGGATCATGGGGGCAGTTTCTCCTATGCTGTTCTAGAGATAGTGAGTGAGTTCTCACGAGATCTGGTTTCTTTGATGAGTGTGTGGCTCTTCCCCCTTTGCTCTCTGTCTCTCCTGCCACCTTGTGAAGAAGGTGCTTTTTTATCCTTCACCTTCCACCATGATGGTAAGTTTCTTGAGGTGTCCCCAGCCATGTGGAACTATGAGTCAATTAAACTTCTTTTCTTTATAAATTACCCAGTCTCCAGTAGTTCTTTATAGCAGTGTGAGAATGGACGAATACACTAGGGTACAGCTGGATGGAAGCATGGTGCGCTCATGGAATTGTGTCCCTTTTTATGTCACTTATCTCAATTTACAATGCTAAATTCATTTGTATAATCATTCAATTAATAATAATTGAGTCATTATTTGATTCTTGCCCCTCCCAACCGACTGCCAGTTCCAGAGAGCAGAAACAATGTCAGTTTCACTCACCATTACATCCTCAGGGCAGTACAGTGCCTAACCCACATCAGACACTCAAAAAATAGCTGAGGAACGAATGGGTAAATGAATAAGTGATGGAGCAAACTGCACGACAGAACTCTCCTGTAGCTGGAGCCCGTCCATCCTGAGTATGCATGTGTCCCCACCCTAGAATGCCCTTTGCCATTCTTAACCATGGTCAGCTCCTTTTCTTGTGACAGCAGGGAGGCTGTTGGCACTGAACAGGTGTACCCTTCACTCCCTTCACTTCAGGCTCTGTTGGCCTAGTTGTTTGGGTCCTTGCCCCTCCTTCCTGTCTTATCTCCCTACCCAGTGAGCTCTCAGCTCCACACGGAACCCTCTCATGTCACTTTTGCAACTTTAATTTCCCTGACTCCCCTACCTTTTCTATGCCTATCAATCTGGCTCTAAAGTAAAGAAGTTGCAGAGAAGCAACTTTGCCCTTAGTAAGAATCCCATCTAGGACAATTACTGTGTGACTCTGGTAAACTTAGTTAACCTGTCTGAGCCTTAGGAGTCTCATCTGTGAAGTCAAAATATCAATACCTCCTTCATGTGGTTTTCTGGGAATACATGCCATAACAGATGTCAAATACCAAGTAAAGGGCTGCATTCAAATAGGTTCTAAATAAAGGTTGATTCTCTCTTTCCTTGTGTTACTTCTCTGATCCTTAATCTCCTCATCTGGAGGCTAATATTGACTACTTTAGGAAAGGGTTCTGAAATCAGAGAGATGTGGGTCAAATTCTGGCTCCACTACCTGCTAGCTATATGACCTTAGGCAAACTAACTCACTCTTTTTCTCAGTTTCTTTGTCTGCAAAATCAGGCCCATAACAGAACCAGCCTCCCAGGATTGTTGAGAGAATAAATGAGATAACACATTTCATTTAGGCACATAAATACTTGGCACATAAATACTTAATAAATATTGGCCATTATTGATTTTGCCCTTATTATTGTCAAGGAGCCCATCGGGCCTGAGCTTGCATATACAAAGCAGATGGTAAACGCTGGCTACGTGTCTACTGACACACTGCTTGCTTAGCAGAAGCTAGCTCAGCTGCATGAGCCTAAAGATTTATTTTCAGGGGTCAGCTTTCTATATAAATCCATTCCTCTTTCTCCATTTTCTAAACTTGTCATTCTGTCTTCTCCACCTTCCAGGTATACATTGATACTGGGGAGAAAGGACATAAAATATTTGACCTTTTATAAGCATTTGGCCTTACTTTCTTTTACATTGAAACATGCCCCCAAGCCCCCAGCTGTCCATAATTCTCAAGGGGCTCAAGGAACAGGGGGTGGGGAGAGCAGGCCCCTGAGGCTTGGTTGCCATCACACGTGCAGCCATTGAGCCCTCCACCTCTGTTTTCGGATAGGGTGTTTTGCAGAGTGCCATCCTGTTGACTTTCGACGAGCCTGATTCCAGCCATAGAAGGTAAGGAGGCAAACGGCGCTTCCCATCCCACCTCACAGTCATTTTAGTCAAGCTCCTGGCTTACTAGGGATTTACGAAGCTTTCTCCCTGTCTATCACATCTAAAAGGCTCTATGAAGAGAAGAGAAAGCTTTTAGTTGCAATGTATTCTGGTTGTTTTTGTTTTGTTCCCCTCCCATCTGATCTAATGGGATTTAGAAGGGAGTTATTGCTTGGCAAAGCAGAGAATTGAAAGCATGGAATGTCCCCTGCTAGAAGAGTCCATAGAGATTCGATTGTTGCTTATTGTGCAGAAACCCAGAGAGGGACAGTTGTTGCTCAGTAACACACAGCACATTGGTGACAGAGCTGTATCTGGAGTCAAGCCTGGTATTCTTGACCGCAGAGCCATTGCTGGCAGTGAGACTGTGAAACCTCTCACATCAGTAAGTAGTACTTTGCATGTATGAGCCCATGTGCATTTGCAGGGCAGAGGCTGACATAATTTTCATCAGATAATTGTGAAGAAGTCCATAACTCAAACCAGGTTAAAAGCTACAAGCATCTTACCTATCCTTAATGTGACAGTTTACAAAATGTAACTGAAACAAAAAAACCAATTACTTCCCCATAAGAAACAATCAGAGGAAAACTCCAAGAAGCCGATGGCGGGTGTGAAAATGTATCATGTAGACTATCAACACCCTAAAAATGGAACAAAGGAAAAGTGCCCTGTGGTCACTACAAATAATGACTCACACTGACACAGCTTCTCTGTGCTGGGCACCACTTTAAGTCCTTATGTATATTAACTAAGTTAATCAGATACAACCTATTTTTACCCCCCACTTCTTTACAGATGAGAAAACTGAAGAAACAGGTTATTGGCCTAAGATGGCCAGTAAAGGGCAGAACCTATATTGGAACTACTCTGTGAAACTCCCACCCTATCTAGACATATGGCATTCCATATGGGGCACAGGGATCCAGGGAGACATATCATGAGGTCCCTACCTCTGGGAGTTCACAGTCTACCGGAGGAGGCAGGTACAAAACACTGAGAATACTAATAACAGTATAAATAAAAAGATGCAGGCCGGGCACGGTGGCTCATGCCTGTAATCCCAGCACTGGGAGGTCGAGGCGGGTGGATCACCTGAGGTCAGGAGTTCGAGTCCAGTCTGATAAACATAGTGAAAACCCATCTCTACTAAAAAAAAAAAAAAAAAAAAAAAAAAAAAAAAAAAAAAAAATACCAAAAAAATAGCCGGGCATGGTGGCAGGCACCTGTAATCCCAACTACTCAGGAGGCTGAAGCAGGAGAATCACTTGAGCCTGGGAGGTGGAGGTTGCAGTGAGTTGAGATCACACCATTGCACTCCAGCCTGGGCAACAAGAGCAAAACTCCTTCTCCAAAAAAAAAAAAAAAAAAAAAAAAAGATGCAGTGGTAGGCAGGGTGGAAGGGAAAGCTAAACGAGCAGAATCGCTTGCACAGGTGGCAGGGAGGCATGAGCCTAGACCTGTTATGCAGGACAACTTGGCCACACTCTGCAGATTCAGTGTTAGCAGCCACATGAGCCCTAATTTCAGAAGGAGACCATATCCAGCCAATCAATGAAGCAGGCCAGGTAGCAAGGCCAGCCAGTGGCTGAACACCTGAGAGCTGTCAGTTCTAGTCTCATTTCAGAACACCTGTCTCTGCAGGCAGCAAGCTCCAGGAGCAGCCCAAAGACTGGCAGTGGGAGCTCCCAGGTTCCAACCAACTGGGCTGGGATTTTGCTAGGAATGAGGAGGAAGTAAGGGAAGGCAGTTTGCCAGACTTAGCATGAGGCAAGAAAACCATACCATTCAGAACCTGCCTCTACTTCCTGTGGGACTTTGGCAATAACTTACACCCACTTCAGTTTTCTCATCTGGGAAACTGGATACTTTTATTGCCTCTGCCATAAGATTATTGTTTGTTTTAAATGAAACGGTGTATGAAGAGCATTTTCTACAGTGTCGGACACAAAGTGAGCACATTTCATTCATTTAACTGCAATCTGTTGAGTACCTGCTGTACACCAAGTACTGGACTAAATGCTGCAAAATGCACAAGTTTGCACACCAGTTTGTTTTCTGGACAAATGGAAATAACAGTTGTTCTTCTTATGGAGGAGTATTATTAGCAGTGGGTGTAGCGTGACTCATCTTTATTATAAATGATTAAGAAGGTCTCCATGCCCTTTGTTCCCTCCACTCAGCCTCCAAAAGTGCCTACTTTCCATTGCATGTTACTGTCTTCCTTCATCTGGCAGTTGGGAAGGGCTCTTTTATTCATTGCTATTCATTTTTACTCACTCTACCATCCCACTGAGCCTGACCCAAGTGTATGCTTTGGCCTGAATTAGATCAAGCTTGGACAGAGACCCATACCCTTGAACAGAGTGACTCTGGTGGGAGATCAGAGAGTAGAGTAGGGGGCTGCAGGAGTGGCTGGAGGAGAGGCTGCTGCCTTCCAAGCGCCCAGAGTTCACCTCTGCACTGCTGGATCCCAACCCGAGTGGAGCACATGGAGGCTCCAGGGGTAGCAGGAGACCCCAACAGTCATACTGAGCTCCAGCCCAAATCTGAGAACAGTGCTGCACCCTGAGTCCCTGCAGACCCGAGGAAGAGAAGTGACTACCACACATTTGCTGGGATTTGTCAGTAGTAGGTCGGCTGCAGGTTACTGTGGAAGGCATTTGTGGCCACAATAGAGGATGGGATGGATCCATGCTTTATAGGATATGACACATATACAATTTGGACCCTATTTAAGAAAGAAAATACAAAATTAGGTTTAAAATGATATTTTAAAATGTGAAAAAAGTTGAATAAAACACACCACAATATCAGAAAACTAACACCATATTTTTATTAATGAAACACTTCTACAATACATTTTTTGTCTTAAACTTTTGGCAGCATAATCTTTGATAAGTTCTCCACATGACAAGAATTTTGCACTATTATCCTATAGAAAGAACAGAAAGATAATTAAAAGAATAGAAAGAATAATTAGATAATAACAGCCTCCCTGCTGTCAAAAGAGAAGGAGATGACCAGGTTTAATTAAACAAGATAATTAAGTAATTAATTATCTTGTTTCTCTCTAATTGATCAAAACAATTTTATTAATGGTTTATAGAGAGAGAAGACATTTCTTTTAGCTTCACAATCAACATTGGTAATGCCATATAAATGTTTAGGATTATAGTCAAAATTTGTTAAATCTTCTTTCACATGCACTTCACGAATGAGCTGTGACAGATGCCCTTACTGTTTGTGGTAATAGCTACAAGTTTGTGCCTTAAAAGCGGGAATTACGATAAACTCTCTTTCCCACAATTCGCTTCTCAAAAGACACCGCCTGCCTCCCCCCAAAAATAGAATGCAATTGCTTATAATTGTACATACCGCATTATCAAGTATATTTCTGACAAAGGAACTTCAGGCTGACAAGGTGTTGATGGGAGATGAATCAATCCTTCACCAACAAATGTACACCCTCTAATGATGGGAGGAATGCCCCATGACCTACTTTCAGACTCTGTAGATTTCAAACCTTGTTTTTCTCCCACTACCCATACACCTCCAATGCCAGGTACTGTAGGACATTTTCATATCATAGTAGACCCCAGGCCCATCTTCAGATCACAATGCAAAGAGAATTGGCACAGCAGGTAATCAGTTGCCCACTGGAAACCAACCTATATTGAGATTACCAACAATAGCATGATTACTAGCACAAACAGAAGCGGTTGCAGCCATATAAATACATCTCACTAATCCCAAACAGAGGGTTCTCTATCTCGATATCCCCTTTGCTAGATACCAAAGATGGTCAGAGTCACTGCAAACCAACAGCCATCCAGCATGAAGGGACATTTGTCTGAACTTATTGTGGTGAAGACATCTTAGCTTTGCCAGTTTAACAACATGATATCCTCACGTGGACATATTGCTAGGGCTTACCCTATCCCTCAAAAGGACATTGTGCAAGTGGGACTCCTGTATCTTAAGCTTCATCTGTTGCCTTCAAGGTCATAACCCACCTCTGGTCATGAGCCCAGGGGAAGAGAGAGGCTTGGGCTGGTGCCAGTGAGCTGTGATTTCATAGCTTGGTTGCCTAGCAAGGGCTGCCCAGGTCAGTCTGTGCCTTTTGTCTGCTGTGCCCCTGCTGGAGGCAATCTGTCCTCGTCTCTCTGGGAGAAGCAGGTAACTCTGAAACTCTTTTTAAATAAAATAAAATTTTAAAAGACAAGAAAAGTACTAAGAAGACAAATCACCCTGTTCAAGAAAGTAGCATCCAAATTTGAAACACCATGTCCATTTCTCTGAGAAATAATACACTAACGTGGGCAACTGACCTCTCCCCAGCCTACTATGTGTAAGGCTAATTGGCCCAGTGGCCAATTTGCCATCAGCCTCCATAATTAAAGAATCACAGTGGTGGCTCACATCTGTAATACCAGCACTTTGGGAGGCTGAGGTGGGCAGATCACTTGAGGTCAAGAGCTCGAGACCAGCCTAGCCAACATAGTGAAACCCTGTCTCTACTAAAAATACAAAAATTAGCTGAGTGTGGTGGCGGGTGCCTGTAATCCCAGCTACTCGGGAGGCTGAGGCAGGATAATCGCTTGAACCCGGGAGGTGGAGGTTGCAATGAGCCAAGATTTCATCACTACACTCCAGCCTGGGTGACAGAGTGAGACTCCATCTCAAAAAAAAAAAATCACAGTGGTAATTGCAATAGGGATTGTGTAGAAGCCTATAAGTTGGAAGAACACATACAGCAAACTTTGCAGGATCTGTAGAAACATCTGCTCTCACATCCCCTGAGAACCAGGGCGTCTGCACTTTACAAATTCATTCTTCAAAGTGGATTCTCAGTCCTGAGCACAAAACCTGGCTTCAGAGAGAAATGGAAGCAGACATTTGGTGGGGATTCCTCAAGCCCAATGACACAGACAGGTACCATCCCTAAGTGCCATGTTTTTAAAACTGTTGGTAAAAACATGAGTTCTCTATTAAAAACAGCAATCTGGCAAGGCAGGTAGAACCCCCCTTTCCAACCTCAGACATGAGTCAGGGCAGGAGCAGGACTGAGCAAGCCTGACTTAGCACCTTCAGAGATGATCAGCACTGAAAGGTTACAGTGATGATGCTTCCTGATCGTCCTGTATTTCCCACCTTAAAAAATCCACAGTCTCAAAATAAAAATACAGTAGTCCCACAAAGTTTTGACTTTTCTCCATGATAGTGACTTAGATGCATTTGTTGAAATATTGAAGTATGAAATTATTTGGAAAAACAATTTTTTTATTGCTCCCCCTGCTTTGTGGCTTCCCTATGTGGAGTTTACCCCACATGTTGGATGCTGTATCTCCAGCAACAAAGCACCCGCCAGGAATCTTGGAGCTCACTCAAATCTATGCCTTTATCTCACAAAGGAGAATAAGGCCCAGAGAGAGATAATGACTTGGCCAAGATCACACCATAATCTGGCAGCTGGAACAGTACAAATAGTCAGATCTCCAAGTTCCTGATCCAGGGTTCTAACTGCAATTTTGTTTTTCCATCTGGCTTGCCAGAAAGTTAGCCAGAGTTCTTTTGAAAGACCGGGCCTCCCTCACAAGCTTCTAGAAGAGACTTCTGGTCTTCTGACCAGCAGACAGCCCTTCAGCCTTCTGCTGTGAGCCTTAATGTCTTGCCCACCCCAAAGACACCTGGTTTACATATTTGCTCCCTGAGACTTGGCTTCCGGCTCTGGCAAAACTAAGAAGTACACGTTTACCTGCTCAAAGCCCAAATTGCCTGTCTGTATCATTAAACTTTCGGTAGGAGCCCTGGGCCAATGACCATTGCCCAGAAATGGTTGGGACTTGGGGAGAGTAGTAGCGGGCTGGGATCCAGGACAGCTACACAGTGAGGGGGAGTCTTCTGGGAGAGGCTGGGAAGCAGGTAAATGCTGGGCATCCTTCCCGATGCCACCTGGGTGCCATTGTCCTTGGAAAGCATCTCCAGCCCAACCTCTCTTGACTCATACATTCAGCCAAGAGACAAATTGCCTATTTGTTGCTTTTCTCTCCACTCTCAATGGTTCAGTGACAGCCATTAGACCCTCTGCTGGGGTCATTTCATGGCCAAATCCTCCCCATCATTCAGATATCCTTCAAATATTATTCAGATATGCTTCAAGCATCACTGTAACAGGATACTTCTGAAAGAGTGGCACCAGCCCTGCCCTACTTGGTCACTCTCTACCCCATTGCCTTAGTTTCATTTCTTCATGTCACTTCTCACTCTCTGAAATTTCTTGACCCTATGTGTGAAGAGGCGATGCAGTTCTGTTGTTAAGATCTTAGTATCTGGGGTCAGTGAGTCAGGCTCACTCCTCACTGGTTACCAACTCGTCTGAATCCAGTGAGATAAAACACCCACACAAGTTACATGAATCAGATGTATTTCTTACAGATAAGAAGCAAGGGACAACAGAAAGCTACAATTCAAGGTGAGCCAATCCTCAAGACCCAAAAAATATGCCCAGGGTGGATGGAGTTTTAACTGTATGTGGCCCAGTTACACTGTGCAGCTGAGGGACCCCAAAAGGCAGCCCACCCTTGATTATATATCCCAGGGTCACACGACTCACTGAGATGAATGCATTGAAGTACATTCTGTTTCTAGGAGAGGACTGGAACAGAGCCTGAGTTGTTCCAGCCAGTCCCTCCCTATTTCTGGATATTGCATTCCCAGCATATTCTATAGTTATTCTTTAGTACAAGAGAAAAGAGGAAGAAATTGGATCAGTCCAAGACCACCAGAGAACTGTCCTGCCCAGGCTATCTAGGTTTAAATCCTGCTTCCACTACTTGTTAACTAGGTAATCTCAAGAAAGTTATCTGACCTCAATCTCTATCTCAGCTTCCCATCTACAAACGGGGCGAAAATAACAACACCTACCTCCCAAGCTGGGCCTGAAGATTAAGTTAACTCATCAGAAGCCTTTAGAACAGTGTCTGGCACATTGTTAAGAGCTCAGTAAATGTTAGACATTGTCATTGCTTGGTTTTTGTATTCTAAGTTGTCTCTTTCCACCCTCATGTAATTTCCCTGGAGACAGAGGATCCTGCCTGCCTTGCGCACCTCTGTCTCCAGCATCCACAAAAGGACCTGACATGTTGTTAGCACTCCACTGATGTTTATCAAATAAATGAAGGAATAGTCCTTCTAAGTCTTCCCTCTGCCTCCATATTCCTCCTCTGCATTCTATTCAAGAATGAACCCCTACCTTCTCCCTAGGTATAATTACTCGCCCCTTCCTCTGGTCCTTAAGACTTTAACCATAATTTTTTATTCTCTTCTATTTTGTTTTTTGTATACACACTATGAGCTCCTTGTGGGCAGGGACCATGTGTTATTTACCTCTCTATCCCCCATGTTGACTGGCACATGAAAATTTCCTATGTAGGGGGAAGGAGAAATATCCCAAATGTAGGTCTGATCATAGTACACTTCCATGAGATCAACCATGGCTCCTCATCACATGCATGATGAAGATTCATATTCCCAAGAGTGTCCT
This sequence comes from Homo sapiens, assembly GCF_000001405.40. Lineage (NCBI taxonomy): Eukaryota > Metazoa > Chordata > Mammalia > Primates > Hominidae > Homo > Homo sapiens. The sequence goes on from NC_000022.11 coordinate 34,708,239, forward strand.
GTGCATCCATGGAGTGGCCTCAAATACCATTGTCACTCTTCTTACCTTCTGTGCTCCTCTCCCACTGCATGTACATAAACATCAGGTAGGCTGTGCTTCTCTCCTTTCTTTAAGCATTCTCAGTACTTCCCAGCTGTGTTCTTTTTGTCTTGTTTTATCTGGCCTAGGATGTCTTTTACCCACCTCTTCCCTTAGAATCAATGCTGCCCTTCAAATCACTAATCTGATCCTACCTTCTTGATTACCTCCATGTTTAGAATTAATCTTCCCTATTGTCTATATTTCAAGTCATTCTTGACTTATAGTTTAACATCTGTCACAGTTCCACTTAAATTTTCTACACTTCACTGAAGGTTCTGAAGGCCAAGGACCACTTCTACTATATCACAGGGTGCACAGAGTGCCTGGAACGATGCTTGATCAGAGGAGGCACCCAGGAGAGGCTTACACATCGAGCTAAAGTAATCACAGTGTGTTTTGGGTGATATTTCTTATGATCCCCTCATCTTAGTCCAAATTGAATGTTCAGCTATTTCTAAATTCTCAGTGTCAATTCAGCAAGTATGCAACGAGTATCAGTTTTTTGTGTCCTTCTTAAGGAGCCCATAACCTCACTGAGGATACCAGACAGACATGGGAAATTCTATAAGACAAAAGAAATCACCATGTTGAGAGGACAAATACATTAAACTCTTTCTATGTGCAAGGTTCTAAGATGTAAAAGGATCAGTCATGTCCCCATTCACCTAAACTATCCTATATATGCCTTTGAGAAACCAGTCAAAGCAGCCTTAGACATCACCTTACCCAACCCTTTCCTCCTTACCCCATTTTGTTGATGGAACAGTCGAGGCCTAGAGAAGATGGCATGACTTGCCCAGTCTCAAAAAGTGAGTTCTGGCAAAGGCAAAATGGGAGCCAGATCCAGTATTCTTTCCGCTATTCCCTGCTCCCTTCCAAAACAATCAGGAAAGTTAGGGAAAAAAACTTCTAATCTTTGCAATAGAGTGAAATAGTAAATTAGTTAATCAATAGATAAAATACCACATTATGGGACGTGATGTTAAACTGCGTGATAAGATACTACCTCCACCTACCGTACTAGAGGAGGTAGGATTTCATCTGGGTATTTCATTTATGGAAAGGGGTGAGAAGGCTTCCAAGGAGGCCTCAATATGAGAAAAATCAGGCATGATATGACTTTACCCAGGACACTGAGAAAGCACAGTACCTTAGAATTTGGGGGAACCTAATTCCTTATATATGCCACCACTTTCACAGATCATTGGTGAAGAAAACAATTCCTTCTTCGACCTCATAGAATTAGCCAGTAGCTGATTTAGAACTAAAACCCAGGATTCTTAATCACAGGCAGCATAAAGAAGTAGAGAATGCTCAACCTTTGGAATTCTAATTCCAGATCTGCATTTAAAAACTGACTCTGTCCATTACTATCTCTGTCAGCTGTGTTAGAGGCGTTCGAACCAGAGTAAGTCCATCTTTAATAGGGGCTGGGTAAAATGAGGCTGAGACCTGTTGGGCTGCATTGCCAAGAGATGAGGCATTCTTAGTCACAGGATGAGAGAGGAGGTTGGCAGGATTGGTGTCACAAGATACAAGTCATGAAGATCCTGCTGATAAGACAGGAGGCAGAAAAGAAGCCAGCCAAAACCCATAAAAACCAAGATGGTGATGAAAATGACTTCTGGTTGTCCTCACTGCTCATTATATGCTAATTACAAGGCATTGGCATGCTAAAAGACACTTTCACCAGCACCATGACAGTTTACAAATGCCATGGCAATGTCCTGAAGTTACACTATGTGGTCTAAAAGTGGGAGGAACCCTCAGTTCCAGGAATTGCCCACCCCTTTCTTTAAAAAGTCATGAATATCCACCCCATTGTTTAGCATAAACAAGAAATGACTAAAAGTATACTCAGTCGAGCAGTTCATGCTGCTACTCTGTCTATGGAGTAGCCATACTTTTATTCTTTTACTTTCTTAATAAACTTGCTTTCACTTTATGGACTCGCCCCGAATGCTTTCCTGCACCAACAAGATCCCAGAACCTCCTCTTGGGGTCTGGATTGGGACCTTTCTGGTAACGGTTGTAAAACATGGCCACAAAAATTTTTGATGCTCCTCTCAATAAGAGATGAGTCCAGGTTTTCTCCCTTTTCTTCTATGCTGTGTGACTTTCTCAATTGAATGTAGTGGAAGTGTTGCTGTTCCAGTTTCCAGGTCCAGACCTTAAAAACTGGTCCACTTCCTATATCGTGGTACACTTATTCCTGGACCCAGCCACCATGCTCTGAGGAAGCCCAAGCCACAAGGAGAGCCCATAAGTACATGTTTTGGACTGGCAGTCTCAGCTGAAGTCCCAGTCAACAGCCAAAATTAACACTAGACATGGGACTGTGGGATCCTTTGAGATAGCTTCATTCTCTGTGCTGACTATAACCACATGAGAAACCCTGAGCTAGAACCACCTAGCCAAATCATCCCCCAGACCTGCAAAAGATAATAAGAATTAAATGGTTGTTATTGCTATAAACCACCATGCTTTGGGATGACTCATTACTCAGCAATAAACAACTGGAACAGATTTTGTGAGAAGACTCAGCTATGACACTAACCTGGTTAAATCTTACAGGCTGGGGTAATGTCCCCCAAAATGTTATAGTGCATGCCCTCAATCACTATCCAACATATGGTGTGTTTCCCATAGCCTGGATCACAGATCTGAGAATCAAGAGATAGAAACGAGAGTGGCTTCTTCCCTCATAGTACCTAGCAATCCACCAGTGATATTTTTGCTTTTCATCCTTGCAACTTTGGTCTAGAGGTCTTAGGGAGGGATAGGTTCTGCCATTGGGACACAGTGATGATTTGATTAAACTGGAAGTCAAGACTTCCATTCGGCCACTTTAAGTCTCTCATGTCTGTGCTCAACAGGCAAAGAAAGGGTTTACTGTACCAACCCAGGTGATTGATCCTGACTATTCAGAGGAAATTAGATTGTTGTTACACAGTCGGGATAAGGAGGAGTACGTCCAGAAGGAGATGATACCCTGACGTGCCTCTGAGCACTCTCATGTCCTGTGGTTAAAGTCAAATGAAAAACTACAACCCAATACCTGTAGAACTGCCAATGACCCAGACCTTTCAGGAATAAACTTTAGGGTAACCCACCAGGCACAGAACCAAAAGAAGCCAATCTGCTTGCAGAGCGCAAAGGGAATGTAAAATTTATGTAGTAAAAGGAAGTTAAAAATAAGAGCTAAGGATACAACAAGTTACAGAAACAAAAACTGTAATAGTTACGAGATTTTTTTTGGTTAAATATAAAGGATATTTGCTTTTACATTAGGTGAAAAAATAGTCTGCATTATTTTTGTTGAGAAGTTCAAAATGGCTAAAGGACATATAAATGGATGCCAAGTTGTCAAAGAGGAGTATGTGGGCTTTGAACTGTGTTGACCTAGCTAAGCTGGAACTAGTCTTCTCAGAATTTCCGGAATTCCCTGTATAGCTTCAGGATACATTGACCATAAGAGACATTTTGAATGAGATTAGGAAGGTGGTAGGGAAAAAAATAGCACCTTTTTTTTTCTTCTTCCTGATGGTTGATATAGAGTCCAGGTGCTATTACCACTCACACATATGCTGCCACTGTCCTGCTAGCTCGCTCTGATGACATCGCAGCAGCAACTCTCACTCCTATTGGATCTTCTTCTTTAGTTACTTCAGATTTGGGGCCAGTGTGTGCAACTTCATGGCAAAAGGTGTCAGCTTCTCCTGCTGGTCACGAACATCATTGGTATCCCTGACTCCATGTCCATCTTTCTTCCCAATTGCCTGTTCTGCTGAATTCAGATATAGAAGCAACAGCCTTGAATAGACAGCTTAACTAGTTCTCACATTTGGGCAAGGTCAAGCCCTCAGAATAAATGCCTTGCCTATATAATTTGCAGTGTTTCTTCTTCTCTGATCCAGCCCTAACTTGGGGGCCTATGTGACCCCTTTCTCATGATGCTCCCCCAACACTGGCCTTCTTTCTACCCCCAGAGCATACCAAGCTTATCCCAACCGAGGACAATTAACATTTACAGTTCCCATGCCTGAAGCCTCTTTCCCAGATAGCCTCATGCCTGGCCCCTTCTCATCAAGCATTCTCAGCTCAAATGTCACCTCTACCATGTGTCTTTCTCTGACCACAGCATCTAAAATAGACCTGTAGTCATTCTTAATCACATCGCACCATTTATTGTTTCCATGGCACCAATCACTCTCTGAAATTACATTTTTGTTTGTATAATTACTAGTTATCTATCTTCGGAAGCTTTTTGAGGGCATGCATTTTACTTATCTTCTTAACCTCTGTGTCCCCATGCCCATTGCAGAGCCTGGCACTGAAAAGGTGACAACACATCAACACATACTTGTAGAATGAATAAAAGACCTTGTTCAAGCTACTTACCTCTTGGACCCTAAGAGCCCTGATCTGTCTGTGACATAACCTGGCCTTTCTCAAAGAGCCGTTGAGAGGGTTAGCTGAGCCTGCAGATGAAAAAAGCCTGAAGTGCTTCACGAAGAGTTGGCTCTCAGAGCTTCAGTCACCTTCCCGGCATCCATTGCTAGGAGCCTCAGAGGGGACCTGGGGGCCAAGCCAGAATTGTTAGGGTAGAATCAGATCTCTAGGACTCCTGGATGCCAAAAGGATATTTTTACTTGTGTCTTCACAAGATGCCAGACTCTCCCTCTGCTAATAGCTCTGGTGTGCTATGTGCCATCATCTTAAAAAACACTTTCACAGCTTCCATCCTGGTAATTCTTATTTCTCAGCCTTTTGCTTTCCTATCCACCCACAGAGCCAGTAACAATCCCCCAGCCTCTGCCTAGTGCCCACTGAATCACACTGACATTGGCATCTAATTGATTTCTTTCAATCTGTGGATGAAATGAAACATTGTTTTCATCTAGCCTGGAAGGAAGGTGGGTACTGAGGAGGCGATGTCGGAGGATTTCTGGAGGAAAATTCAGTAATTCTGCATATCAATAAAATCCAAACAGGACAGTGAGTCCAGCTTATATATCCTAAGTGTGGATCTTACAAAATTAAAGCTAAAAATTCCCAAGCAGGTGTGTGGGTGAAAAGTAAGAAGCCAGACAGTGATAACACAATTCATTTTCAACTCCTAATAGGAGAAGTGATGAACTTTATTCACCTCCCAAGCTGCATGGGGCATGTATTGGACCACAAAGTAGAATAAGTGGCTCTATCAGAAGTGCCCTTCCTCCCTTAGTGCTCATGCCACACTCATGGAGTGTATTCAGTGTAACCTGAGAGATTGCCCCAGGATGGAGGCAAAAGACCATTTTGGCCACAGTTTTTCTGGAAGACAGGTGAAAATGGTCTACAGAGACAACATTGAAACACATACAAGATTTCTTTTGCCATTTTCTTGCTTTGGGGAGTAAAGTCTTTGCCTCCTTGACAGAGAAAATTTTGCCCCTCCAATTCCTTCCTTCCTTCATTCTCTCACCAAATATTTATTGCTAAACAGTGTTCTAGGCATCAGGGCTTAGCAACTATCTGTCCTGGGGACATTCACACTTACATGTAGAAAAAGAGACAAGTCAGCAGTCCATTTCATTGCAGTGTAACAGGTTTTGAGATGGAGGGAACAGAGTCCTGCAGGGGTACTATGATGGGACACCCAATCCAGGTGGCTGAAGAGTAAGAAGCAAGACAGTGATAACACAATTCATTTTCATCTCTTAATTTGGGATGTGATGAATTTTATCCACCTCCCAAGGATGGAGTGCTCCAGAGAATGGGGATTTCAGGGAGGAATTTTCTCAGAAGGCCTGTTCAGGTAGGACTTAAAAGAACAGGAGATATATGTCAAGAATACAGAATAATCCTCAGCATCCATGAGGCAAAGCATTTTTCATGGTCAAGGCCAGCTGTACAAATAAGATATTGCCCTCCCACTGCTTCTCATCCTAAGACCCAACCCCTTAACACAGCAGATCAGACCCTGCACTATCTGATCCCCATAAGGGGGCCCACAGTTATACCACATTCAACCTCCCCATCCCTGAGGCTTTGACCTCACTTGCTTTCCTCTCCCACACACCTTCCCAGTCACACTCTTCCCCCTCTCTGGACCACTTTCTTTGCCTAATCTCCCTTTTCACTCTCCAGCTCTTAGCTCAGGAGAGCCATTTGTAGTGGGTTGAATCATGTCCCCCAAAACTCATGTCCATCTGAAACCTCAGAATGAGATCTTATTTGGAAATAGGGTCTTTGCAGATGTAATTAATTAAGATCATACTAAATTAGAATATGCCCTAAATCGAATGATTGATGCCCTTATAAAAAAAAAGAGTACAGAATGCACAAGATACACACAGGCACAAATGCCAAGTGACAGCAGAAGCAGAGATCTAAGTGATGCAGCTATAAGGCAAGAAACAGCAAAGCTGGCTGGCAATTACAAGGATTTAGGAAGAGGCATCTCCCCTGGAGCCTCGAAGGGAGCATGGCCCTACCAACACCTTGATTTTTCACTTCTAGCCTTTGGAACTGTGAGACTATACATTTTGGATGTTGTGAGCCACCAGGTTTGTGGTAATTTATTATAACAGACTTAGAAAATGAATACCTCTTTTCCTGACCCATGCTATCCCACCCCAGCTTGTTCAGAAACATCCCACCTCTGTCCATATACACACACACCACTTTTATACTCTTCTGGCAATCTGAACTTCTCTCAGATATCCCTTATCAAAGTTTGTAATTACATAGTTATTTTTGTAATTTTTTCATTGTTTGTCTCTTCTACTAAATTATAAACTCTATTTTTGGTAGGGAATCTTATTTGTTTTAAAACACCTTCAAATCATCAGAGCTTAACATGATGTAGGTCCTCAATAAATCTAAGTCTATTCATTAAATAATTATCGATCTATCCCTACAAATGTGAATAACCACAAGAAATAAATTAAGTAAGTGCCAAAAGAATGGAAGAGAAGGGTGGGAACAGGAGCAGAAGAGAGAGAACCTGATAGTATGAAATTAACAGAGAAGGTTCTGAGAAATTAGGAGACTTGCATTATTGTATCTTAAGTGGATTTCAGCGAAGACTCAAAGGCATGTGCTTAAAAACAGTGGCTTTTCAAACTCTTTTAACCATGACCCCAGTAAGACATACATCTTAGTCATGACCCAGTGCATGTATTAATAGACGGATTTCATGAAAGAGTAGTTTAATGAAGCAGTTCTTCCTCCCACTATGTGAATGTGCCCCATTGCTTTCTGTTCTACTCTATTCTGTGCCTTGCTATGTCTTTCTTCCTCTCCTCCTCCTCTTCCTCCTCCTCCTCATTCTCTTCCTCCTCCTCCTCATTCTCTTCCTCCTCCTCCTCATTCTCTTCCTCCTCCTCCTCCTCATTCTCTTCCTCCTCATTCTCTTCCTCCTCCTCCTTCTTCTCCTCCTACTTCTCCTTCTCTCCCTCCTCTTTCTCTTCCTCCTCCTCTTCTTCCTCCTCCTCCTCCTCTTCCTCCTCCTCCTCCCCCTCTTCCTCCTCCTCCTCCTCCATCTCCTCCTCCTCCATCTCCTCCTCTTCCTCCTCCTCCTCCTCCTCCTCCTCCTTCTCCTCCTCCTTTTGCTGCTGCTGTTTGCACAGAAAACATTAAATTCACTTCACAGACAACCAATGGGCTGTGACTGCAAGTTCTGGACTAAAAGCTCCACAGGTGCAGAAGTCACAATTGTGTTGTTCACACCTCTATTCCTAGAACTTAGTGCAATCCCTGGCAAGGTCGTTAGTTGATAAAACCTTGTTGAATATATGAAAAATCAATATGTTAATAGTTTCATCTTGTGGTGTCTCTTAACAAGTTCTCTCTTTTCACATCTGAAGCTATAAGATCATTCTTTTCTCTGAACCTTTCAAAATATACTGTTTTCAAGGCTATGTAAGGTAGATTGTATTTCATGATGTTCAGTGTTCCTGGCCATACCATTAAACACTCAGTAATTTCTATGTGCTAAAAGGCAAATCTAATAATTTGATTCCTCCATTTAAAATTCTTCTCTTTATTTGATTTTATAACTAACATTTGTCTAACACATGCCGCATGTATGAAGGCAGATACTCTACAGGTTTATATTTTCATCCTTACCTTGGGGTTCTTCCTTTATCTCTCTTAATTCAACTTCACCAAGTAGTTTATCATTCCCTTAAATACACCATGACACTTTTACATGTCCCCTTGCCTCTCCTAAAGCTGGCCTCTCTGCTTGGAATTCTTGGAAAGTTTCTTGTCTATCTTACTTGGTTGAAGTACAAACTCCTATACATTCTAACAGACGATATCCAAGTGGAACCAGCCCTCTAGCTAATGCCACCATGCACACATAACTCTCTATATATAACTTCACAATTTGAACACATAAATATAATTTCTTATGTTACTTTTTAGTTATATTTTGTTAGCTATTTTCTCCCTCCTGTGAACTCCTTGAGAACACAAATGAATGAAATGCTATTAATCTTTATTTTGTAACTCTGGCACTGAACATACAGTAAGCGTGGAGGGAAGATAGAAGAAAGGGAGGTAAGGAAGAGAGGAAGGCCCCTCCACTTTCTTATCACTACCCTGTTCCATTAGTCTATGTATCTGTTTTTGTACCAGTATCATGCTGTTTTTGTTACAGTAGCCTTATAATATAGTATGAAGTCAGTTAACTGATGCCTCCAGTTTTGCTCTTTTTTGCTTAAGATTGCCTTGGCTATTCAGGCTTTCTTTTGGTTCCATGTGAAGTTTAAATTTTTTTTTCTAATTCTGTGAAGAATGTCGTCGGGAGTTTGATAGGAATAGCATTGAATCTGTAAATTTCTTTGGCCAGTATGGCCATTTAAACAATATTTATCCTTCCTATCCATAAGCGTGGAATTTTTAAAATTTATTTGTGTTATCTCTGATTTTTTGAGCAGAGTTTTGTAACTCTAATTGTAGAGATCTTTTACCTTTCTGCTTAGCTGAATTCCTAGGTATTTTATTGTTTTGTGGCTATTGTGAATGCGATTGCATTACTGATTTGACTCTCAACTTGGACTGAAAATTCAACAACCTGCTCCTGAATTACTTTTGGATAAACAATAAAATTAAAGCAGAAATCAAGAAATTCTTTGAAACTATTGAGAACAAAGATACAACATAACAGAATCTCTGGGACACAGCTAAAGCAGTATGAGAGAGAAGTTAATAGCCCTAAATGCCCACATCAAAAAGGTAGAAAGATTTCATATTAACTAGCTAACGTCACATCTAGAGAAACTAGAGAAACAAGTGCAAATCAGCCCCAAAGCTGGCAGAAGGCAAGAAATAACCAAAATCAGAGCTGAACTGAAGGAAACTGAGATGCAAAAAAACATACAAAAGATCAGCGAAACCAGGTGTTGGTTCTTTGAAAGAATAAATAAGATAGATAGACTGCTAACTAGAATAATAGAGGGAAAAAAGAAGAGCCACATAAACACAAACAGAAAGGACAGAGAGGACTTTACCACCAAATCCACAAAAATACAGAAAATTGTCAGAGACTACTACAAACATCTTTATGCAAACAAACTAGAAAACCTAGAAGAAATGGATGAATTCCTGGAAACATGCAACCTCTCAAGATTGAACCAGGAATAAATTGAATCCCTGAACAGATCAATAACAAATTCCAAAATTGAATCAGTAATGAAAAGCCTAGCGACCAGAAAAAGCCCAGGACCAGACAGATTAACTGCTGAATTCTACCAGACATACAAAGAAGAGCTGGTACCATTCCTACTGAAACTGTTTGAAAATATTGAGGAGGAGGGACTCCTCCCTAACTCATTCTATGAGGCAAACATCATCCTAATACCAAAACCTGGCAGAGACACAACAAAAAGAGAAAATTTTAGGCAATATCTTTAATTAATGTAGATGCAAAAACGTCAGCAAAATACTGGCAAGTTGAATCCAGCAGCACATCAAAAAGCTTATCCATCACGATCAAGTAGGCTTTATCCCTGGGATGCAAGGTTGGTTCAACATACAGAAATTAATAAATGTGATTAATCACATAAACAGAATTTTTAGAAAACCACATGATCATCTCAATAGATGCAGAAAAGGCTTTTGACAAAATTCAACATCCCCGCATGTTAAAAATCCTTAAAAATACCTAGGCATTGAAGGAACATACCTCAAAATAATAAGAGTCATCTGTAACAAACCCACAGCCCACATCTTACTGAATGAGCAAAAGCTGGTAGCATTCTCCTTGAGAACCAAAACAAGAAAAGGATGCCCACTCTCACCACTCCTATTCATAGTCCTGGAAGTCCTAGGCAGAGCATTCAGGCAAGAGAAAGAAATAAATGGCATCCAAATAGGAAGAAAAGACAAACTATTTCCATTTTCAGATGATATGATTCTATATCTAGAAAGTCCTGTAATCTCTGCCCCCAGAGCTCCTAGATCTGACAAACAATTTCAGCAATGTTTCAGGCTAGAAAAACAATTGCTTCCTTGGAAATGAAAGAATTTGAGTAGAGAATTTCAAACTCAAAATAACAAAGCTACATTTTCTCCAAAATTTTTGGAAATAAAGATGTTTGAAATAACCTAAAGTTGTTCATGTAATAACAAGCTAAAAATAATAAATTGGTTAAAAAGTGCTTGAAAACCAAAACTCAACACAGATCTGTTTGCCCTTCAATTGACACATAGTCTCTATTATCACCCTTGACCATGAACTTGCAGTTTTGCATGTAGCATATACCTGAGTAAACTAAAAGATCAAAAATCAAAAGAGTTTAAAAAAGGAAACTCAGTAATTTTTATTTTTACTATACATTACTAACTCCCACATGTATGATAACCAATAGGGGTCTATGTAATGCAAACTGTATATCTCATTAACTAATTAATTAATGGTTTTACAGCCAATTTGCATCTTGACAATGCCTGTTGTATGAGAAGACTAGAATTCAGTATGATAGTACCCTTGCTTCAATGTGCAGATTTGAACTTCTCCACACCAGTGTACATTATCTAGATGGAACTGCTATTCCACAAGTCCATTTTGCAGGTCTGTTTTATTTAAACAAAGGCACATTCTCACATTATTAGTCATGAGTCCCACCCTTGTGAAGCCCAGTGACCATTAAACTTCTCCACACTGGTGTATATTATCTAGTTGGGAAGTGTTATTCCACAAGTTCATTTTGTGGGTCTATTTTTATTTAAACAAGGTACAACCTCACATTTTACAATGTCATGAGCCCCACCCTTGTGAAGCCCAATGACCATTGAAGGGCAGGGCCCCTCTTCTGTCCCCAACTAGCTCTTACAGTCTACCCTTTCCCTTGCCACTAATCCCAAAGCCCCCTCTATCTATGGGGGTCCCTCCCCTCAAGCCTGATTGAATCTCTCGAGTTCCTCTTCTGGGTTCTTCCAAAGAAAAACTCACAGGCATTTGCCTTTATGATTCTTAGTCATGATGGAAACGAATACAAATGGAAATATTCAAGGAATAAGACATTATAGAAGAATATTACAAAAATCCCCAAGTTTTTCAGGTCTCAAAATCATGGTCTTCAGTTCACAACTTGTTTGCCAAGGTAGTGCTTAGAATCCACAGTAAACTGTTGATCTCCTCTTTAGTTCCTAAGAACATATTCACTCCCCAAATCTTTTCTTTTCTTTTTTTTTCTTTTCTCTGCCTGTAGTCCTGTAAAAGCCAGCAAGGTGGACCCACAGGTGTGACCTAGTGTACACTGACGTGTTTATTGATATTACTGAGATAACTGGAATTTCTGTGACCGGACTAGGGGAGACAAAGATGAATCTCACATATTTACCTATTTGGCAAATATTCACTGATCACTGCTCTTTGTTTATCCCATGGTCATAGGAGGCAAAAGCAGATAGAAGAAAATGTGTTATTCCCTCACGAGGTTCCTAGTTTACTCAAAAAAGATGCTAAATTACTGAGGAAGAATTTAGAATGCTATTTACATTAATTATAGTATTTATGTAATTATGTAAATATATCTTAAATATATATAAGATATATAAATTATAGTATTTATATATAATATTATATATAAATATATAAATAAGTATATATACTTATATATAAGACAGTATATCAGAGTATTTATATAAATATAGTATCTTATATACATATAAGATATATGTGTATATCTATTATATAAGTATATCTATTATATAGATGTAATAATAGATATCTGTATTATATACATATATTCATATATCTATTATATACATATATACATATAAATATAGTATCTTATATATATGTAACATGTATTATATGTATTTATTTATATGTATTATATACATATCAATATAGTATCATATATAAATACTCTTCCAAATTTTTCCTCAGTTTACCCAAAGAAGCCAAATTACTGAGGAAGAATTTGGAATAGTATTTATATAAATATAGTATCTTATAAACTATCATATGTATATTTGGATGTATCATATATATAGTATCTTATAAGTATATATGTATATAAGTATAAAATACATATATAAATATTTATATAAATATAGTATCTTATCTACTTATATGTATATAAATATTTCAAATATACATACAAGATAGTATGTAAGATACTATATTTATATAAATACTATTGCAAATTCTTCTCAGTAATTTAGCTTCTTTTTTGGGTAAACTGGGAACCTTGTGAGGGAATAACACATTTTCTTCTACCTGCTTTTGCCTCCAATGCCCTCCCTGAAGGAGAAGGCATGACATAGGTAATTGATGAGTCTGGGAGAACACAGTTGCCCTACAGGGCAGATATGCTCACTTGCATGGATGCGATAAGTTCTTAGCCAATCACTAAACTGCTCCATTGCAAAGGGCTACATTTTTTCCAGAGCTTCTTCTGACTAAATGGATTGAGTTTGCTTTAGGAAGCCCCCACACCTCTTAGTTAGCTCAGGCCGCTATAACAAAATACCATTGACAGGGTGGCTTAAACGACAGAAATTTATTTTTTCACTGTTCTGGAGGGTGGAATCCAAGATCAGAGTGCTAGCATAGTCAAGTTCTGGTGGGGGCCCTCTTCCTGGCTTGCAGATGGTCATCTTCTTGCTGAGTCTTCACAAGGAAGGGGGCTAGGGGAATCTTTCTGGTCTGTCTTCTTATAAGGGAACTACTCACATTATGAGAGCTCCACCCTCATGACTCCGTCTGAACCTAATTATGTCCCAAAAGCTGCATCTCCAAATACAATCACTATGGGAGTGAAGGCTTCCACATAGGAACATAATTCAGTCCATGGCACCTCATGACTAAAAGACCTAGAGCCAGGCGTGGTGGCTCATGCCTGTAATCCCAGCACTTTGGGAGGCCAAGGTGAGAGGACCACTTGAGCCCAGGAGTTCAAGACCAGCCTAGGCAACATGGTGAGACCCGTCTCTTAAAAAAATTAGTGCAGTGGCTAATGCCTGTAATCCCAGCACTTTGGGAGGCCAAGGTGGGAAGATCACAAAGTCAAGAGATCGAGACCATCCTGGCCAACATGGTGAAATTCCGTCTCTACTAAAAATATAAAAATTAGCCAGGCGTGGTGACAGGCGCCTGTAGTCCCAGCTACTCGGGAGGCTGAAGCAGGAGAAATGCTTGAACTGGGGAGGCGGAGGTTGCAGAGAGTCGAGATCGCGCCACTGCACTCCAGCCTGGCAACACAGTGAGACTCCGTCTCAAAAAAATATATATATATACTAAATTTTTAAGAATAAATAAAATTTATTTTATTTATTAGTTCTCCATCTGGCTTTGATTAATAAGAAAGATCACCTAGATATTCTTTCCGACTTCATTGTTTGTCTCTAAACTGGCTCCCATAGTAGGGAATAGGCCTTCATTTATTGAGCCCTTTCAAATACCAATCAGTCTTCTCAGACGTTTGTAGAATTGTGGAAGGAGGTAAAAGGGATTCTATAGAGCTACATTCTTCTAAATCAGTGCTTCCCAGTTGAGCTACCATGGGTCACTAGCTTATTTATGATACCTAAGGAAGTGTCAGTGGGAAAAAAAAATTCTATGGTTAAACAAGTTATGGAACCCTTTGTTCTTTAACCCCCTCTCAAAGTCACCATGCATATTGGTGTGAGAGGTTAGGTTTCTCTAAAGAAACCTGATTAGCTCTGTGTAACCTGAGGTTTCTCACTCTTACTTGATCGCAGAACCATTCTTAGCTGAATACCAATTAACCTCATAGGGAACTGAAGTCTCTCGCATTTGTGAATAGCTGTTCTAGACCATGCCCTTCATCCTCCACAGTTTCCTGATGTATTGTTTTATCTGAATGCTTCTTCTGTCTCTCTCGAATTTCAGTTTAAATCCCTCTTGATCAAGAGAGTAAGTTAACTCTTAACAAAACACTTTCTGAAGAGTAGCCTCTAGCAGAAGCAAGCTTATTATTCTAGTATCTCAAAACACAGTCCACAGGACCATGACCTGTTTCTTTTAAATCTTCTACAAGGTTCACTTCACACACCTTCCTTTCACCTCTAAGTTATCATCCTTGAGTGGGAGAATAAAAGGAAATGTCAATATCTTGTATCTTGAGGCCCTCAGTCTTCTTTCCCAGACATCAAACTATTAATACTAGAGACAAATTTCAAGCTGCTTAAGGTTGCATCAATTTTACCCACACGTCCTAAAAGAAGTGGGTAGTGATTGCTGGATTTGATGCATCTTGGCAGGTGCTCAGTCACTGCAGGAAGTCAGCTCTCCACCAGATCAGGCATATTCAATCTGTGTGCAGCCACCCCCATACAGCTCAGCAGACTCCCCAGTCACCCCTGGCATCTTTTTATCCTGGACCTGTAGTCGCAAGACTCCTTGCACCTGCTCCTATACTGTTCTCCAAGCATGCACTGCAGTACCTGTCTCAGAGGGTACAGCTTTACCTTCTGTAGGCAGAGCCTCAGACATGCCTGTGCTCCAGCTTCAAAGCTTTGCCTGTCCCTTACTCTTCTGAACTTCATTCTTCTTCTGGCCAGCCTCATGACACTAGTTTTAATTCCTCTCCTGTCTCCTCTGAATTTCTTTTTTTTTTTTTCTGATGACCTTAATGAATTAAGTCTCCCATCCAGACAGGAACTGCTTCATCCTCACTTTCCCTACTTGCCAGCCTCAATTCATCTGATAATGCAGTATTTACCAAGCTTATTAAGCCATTTAACAGTTTGAATACTATCACCACTCTTATGCATCAGTGGAATGATAAGAGAGTCAGGGGTTCATGTGTTATAAAGTGCAATTATTTGTCTTTACTTGGAATTGCTTTCTGACTTTTTGTTTATTTTATTCAGACACTGTGAGGAACATGAGACTTCACGTGTTCTTTTTATTTCTGTCATATGTCCTTTGGGAATAAGTTGGAATCATATAAATATTTACCGTGGAATAAAATTTGAATACAATGACAAAAGTATGTTGAAATTATAAGACAATCTGCATAACAAAGATGTCACTAATGTGATCAATTGGTGTAGCAGAACATATTTTAAAAATAGTTTATCACATAATTGTTAAGACAATTGCATAAATGTATTCAGTTTCTAATGTGAAAAAGGGATCAAAGATCATTTCAGCACAAAGACAATGTAATTTTTTTATTGTCTTGCTAGGTTCATCAGGCTAAAATGGTGGTTGGTGATAGAGCATTCCCCTAAAGGAAATTAACATTTGCTTTGCCAGTCATACTGGAGAAGTAGTTAATCCAGGTTAGAAAGTGGAATGGGATTTTGGAATAGAGAAGAGAGAAACTTCTCCTTTATGGGTCAGAAAAGACTCTAGACATGTGGAGAGGGCAGGAATAGCCCAGATTTTTGAGGCAAATGACTTCTGGACCTGTAGAGACAACAGGTATAAGTGGCACCACTGAGCATTCTGTTCTTGAAGGAACTCTCAACTGGAAGCAGCACTGGCAGCAGAAGCACAAAGAAGTGGCTGGCTTCTGAAACAGTCAATGTTGTACAACCCCTGTTGAAAGGTGGCAGATCTGATTTCTCGTTCCAGAGAATCCAGGAGAGTAGGCAAAATGGACATTTTGGACATGAGAGAAGCAGTGTATTCTCACTGGGGCTGGGAAGAAATCAGCATCAGTTCCAGTGGAAACAATAGAATAAACAGATGAGGGAGCAAAATTGTAACAAGCAAATTGGAACTGAGGGGTCAGAGAAACTTGCTCTTCCATGTAAGTATTGCAACACCACGGGAAAACTCAGAAATGACTGCAGGGAACACTTTGATGTGAAATAATATTTAACAAGTAGGATGGCAGGGGCTAATTCTATAACGATACTTTAGAATGATGTCAGAAAGATAATAATATGTAAGGTGACAGCCCTCATCCTCCTACAGAAATACCAGTTTTATAACCATTCATAAAGGAAAATATCTTCAAAAGAGCTCTGGAATCCAGGTAAGAGATTACAGCACCTGGGTGGAGCCCAAAAATGAGAAAAGATATATTAAAGAGAGTAGGAAGGATAGTTTCACATTACCCACAGCACTCCTCTCACAAGCCCATGCAGTGCAGTATATAGAGAGATATCTTCAGGCCTGAAGTCTCCTGTGGGGAAAAGAGAGAAAAAGGAGTGTCCAACTTCTCCACAGATCCTGGCAAAAATACCTGCCTCTCAAGACTTGTTGTGGGTCTGCCCTCATAGATCCAGGCTCCAGGTTTTCCCATGAAGACCCGGGCTCTGGGACCATCACCCATCCACATACCCCAACAGCATTCCTACCTGGAATCTTTTGTCAAGCTACCTGGTGAAAGGCTTTCCTTGCTGAGTCCAGTCTGCAAAGATTGGTAAAAGTGACTACTTCAAATGTGCACATACCAACACAAGGCCACAAGGATCACTAAGTTTCAGGGAGATTTAGCATTTCCAAAAGAACAAAATAAATGTCCAGTAACCAGCCCTATAAAAATTAACATCTATGAACTGTCTGACGAAGAATTTAATCTCCTTTTAAAACTCAGTGATCAAGAACAGAAAACCAAACATTGCATGTTCTTACTCATAATTGGGAGTTGAACAATGAGAACACGTGGACTTAGGAAGGGGAACATCACACACTGGGGCCTGTCAGGGGGTCGGGGAAGGGGGGGCTAGGGGAGAAATAACATTAAGAGAAATACCTAATGTAGGTGATGGGTTGATGGGTGCAGCAAACCACCTTCTGTAACAAAACTGCACGTTCTGCACCTGTACCCCAGAATTTAATAACAAAGAAAACCTCAGTGAGCTAAAAGATAATGCAAAAAGATAACTAAATGATATCAGAAAGATAATACATGACAAAATAAGAAGTTCAATAAAAAGACAGAAACCATAAAAAAGCAAGTATAAATTCTTGAGCTGCATAATACAATGACTGGAATGAAAAATTTCAGTAGAGAGTACCAAAAGCAAACTCAATCAAGCAGAAGAAAACATCAGTAAGCCCAGGTACAGGCCATTTGAAATTATGCAGTCAGAGAAAATAAAAGAAAAAAAATATTTTTTAAAAAAGAGTAAAGAGAGCCTACAGGAGTTATAGGCCACCATCAATATATGCATTATTAGAGTCGTAGAAGCAAAAGAGAAAGAGAAAGAAAAAAAAAAGCTTATTTAAAGAAATAATGGCTGAAAACTTCCCAAATCTGGGGAGGAAATGGGCATACAAATTCGTGAATCTTAAAGAACCCCAGTAAGTTTAATCTCAAAAAGTCTACATTGAGACACATTATAATTAAATTGTCAAAACCCAAAGACAAAGAGAAAATTGTAAAAGCAATAAGAGAAAACTGACTCATCATATACAAAGAAACTGCTATAATACTTTCAAAGGATTTTTCAGCAGAAATCTTGCAGGCTAGGAAACAGTGTGATGAGATATTTAAAGTGCTGAAAAAACCCTACAAACTAGTAATATTATATCAGCAAAACTGTCTGTAGAAATGAAAAACAAAAACTTTCCCAGACAAACAAAAACTGAAGGAATTTGTCACAACTAGACCTGCCTTACAAAAAGTTCTAAAGGGAGTTGTTCGAGTTTAAACAAAAGGACACTGGCAAACAAAACAAAGTATATAAAAGTATAAATCTTACGGGTAAAGATAAGCATATAGGCCAATACAGAGTAATGTAGTAGTATAAGGGTGATAAATCATCACTTTTATTCCTAGTATAAAAGTTAAAAGACAAAAGTATCGAGAATAAATACAACCCCCAAAATTTGTTTGTATCGAGTATAAAATATTTAGAAAGTAAATTCTGATATCAATAACATAAACTATTGGGAGGGTGTAGCATCATGTTTTGTATGCAATTGAAGTTGATATCAGCTCAAAAGAGACTGTTAACAACAATAAGAAATTTTATGCAATTCTCATAGTAGCCACTAAGAAAGAAAATAGCAGAAACAAAAAAAATAAAAAAGAATAAAAATATATCCCTACAAAAATGATCAGATTACAAAGGAAACAGCAAGAGGGGAACAAAAGAACTACAAAACAGAAAAAAAAAAAAAACTAACAAAATGGCAATAGTAGATCCTTACTTACCAATAGTTACTCCAAATGTAAATAGGTTGAATTAATCAATCAAAAGACACATAGTAGCTAAATGGAAACAAAGAATCTAATCCAACTATATTCTGTCTATGAGACCCACTTTAGATTTAAGAGCACATATAGGTTAAAAGTGAAAGGATGAGAAAAGATATTCCATACAAATGGTAACTAAAACAGGGAGTGGGTGGCTATACTTATATCAGACAAAATATACTTTAAGTAATAAACTGTCACAACAGAAAAAAATTCATTACATAAGATAAAATTGTCAATTTGACATGTGCAATTAAAATTATATGCACCCAATATATTTTGGAACACTTAAAGGTATAAGGAAAATAAGCGTTATAAGGAAATTAAATGTTTCCACGTTGGAACACTTAAATTTATAAGGAAAATATTAACAGAGCTGAAGGATAAATAGCCAGAAATACAATAACACTAGGAAACTTCAAAACCTCACTTGCAATAATGAAAAGATCATCCAGATAGAAAGCCAACAGGAAACAGCAGACACTAAAGACACCACAAAAATACTTAGGACCAATAAATGAATTTAACAAAACTTCAAGGTGTAAAATCAATATACAAAAATGAATTTTTATAAACTAACAGAATAATCTGGAAAGAAATTAAGAAAAATCTCATTTACAATAGCATCAAAAACCTAAAATAATTAGGAATAAACTTAATAAAAAAACATAAAAGACTTGTTACACCCAAGAGAATAAAAAGACACCCTGTGTCCATGGATTGGAAGAATTAATATTGTTAAAATGTCCATACTACCCAAAGCAATCTACAGATTCAATGCAATTCCTATCAAAATTATAATGGCAATTTTATAGAGATAGAAAAACATCCTAAAATTAATAGAACTATAAAAGATCCTGAGCAGCTAAAAAAAAAACTTGAGAAATAACATACTTTATGATTTCAAAGTATATTTCGAAGCTTTAGTAATAAAAACAGTATGATCCTGACATAGAAACAAACAGATAGACCAATGGAACAGAATAGTGAACCTCAAATAAACTCATGTATTTATAGCCAACTGATATTTGACAATTGTAAAATACCAGCTAATCAAGAGGCTGAGGCATGAGAATCACTTGAATACAGAAGGTAGAGGTTGGGGTAAAATTGCACCACTGCACTCCACTCTGGGCAACAGAGTGAGACTCTGAAAAAAAAAGAAAAGAGAGAGAGAGAGTTGGGGGCAAGAAGATGAAGATGAAAAGAAAAAGAAGGAGGAAAGGAAGAAGGAGGAGGAGGGAGAAAAAGGAAAGGAAAGGAAAGGGGAGAAAGGATATTTTCTTTAATAATACATGGTGTTAGAAAAACTGGATATCCACAAACAAAAGGACAAAATTGGACCCTTACCTCATACCATACAAAAAACCCTCAAAATTGATTAAATATTTAAACATAGGACCTGAAACCATAAATCTTCTAGAAAAACCATAGGAAAAAAGCTTCTGGATATTGGTCTTGGCAATAAATTTTTGGATATGACACAAAAAGCTTGGGCAGCAAAAGCAAAAATAGACAAGTAGTATTACATTAAACTAAAAAGCTTCTGCACAGGAAAGGAAACAATCAACAAAATGAAAGGCAACCTATGAAATCAAATAAAATATTGGCAAACCATACACTATCTGATAAAGGGCTAATATTTAAAATATATAAGGAACTTCTACAAATTAATAGAAAAAATATTAAGAAATGGGAAAAGGTACTGAATAGGCATTTCTCCAAGGAAGATATACGAATGCCCAGCAGGTATACAAAAAGACATTCAACATCACTAACCATCAGAGAAATGCAAATCAAAACCACAGTGTAATATTATTTCACATATGATGGCTATTTTTATATACATATATAGCAATATTGAATGGCAAACAAGATAACAAATATTGGAGAAGATGTGGGGAAAATGGAATCCTTGTACACTATTGGTGGGAAAGTAAATTGGTGTATTTACTATGGAAAACAATATAGCAATTACAAACTAAAAATAGAACTATCATTTTATTCAGCAATCCAACTTCTGGGTATTTGTCCAAAGGAATTGAAACCAGGATCTCAAAAAGATATATGCATTCCCCAGTTCATGTCCTTTGCAGGGACATGGATGAACCTGAAAACCATCATCCTCAGCAAACTAACACAGGAAGAGAAAACCAAACACTGCATGTTCTAACTCACAAGTGGGAGTTGAACAATGGGAACACATGGACACAGGGAGGAGAACATCACACACCAGGGCCTGTCTGGGGGTGGGAGGCAAGGGGAGGGAGAGCATTAGGACAAATACCTAACGTATGCGGGACTCAAAACCTAGATGACAGGTTGATAGGTGCAGAAAACCACTATAGCACATGTATACCTATTTAACAAACCTGCACGTTCTGCACATGTATCCCAGAACTTAAAAGTTAAAAAAAAAGATTTATGCATTCCTATGTTCATTACAACATTATTCATGATAGCTAAGACATATAAGCAATTTAAATGTCCATTGATGAATGAATAAATAAACTGTGGTTTATACGTATAGTAGAATATTATTTAGCCCCAAAAGAGAAGGAAACCCTGCCATTTTTGACAACATGGTGAACTTGAAAAATACTATGCTAATTGAAGCAAGTCAGACACAGAAGGAAAATTATCACATAATACCATTTATAAGATGAATCTAAAAGAGTCAAATTCATCAAAGTAGAGAGTGAGATGGTGGTTACAGAGGTTGGCAGGAGATGAAAAGGGGGAGGTATTAATCAAAGGGTACAAAGTTTCAGTTACAAAAAAAGAATAAGTCATATAGGTTTACCATACAGCATAGTGCTTATAATAGTTAATACTATTCTGTATACTTAAAAATTGGCTGAAATTATAGATCTCTTGTTAAGCATTCTTATCACAAAAAAAAAAAGAAATAAGAGGATGAAAGGAAACTTTTGGAGGTGTTGAATGGGTTTACAGCATCGATTGTGATTATGGTTTCATAGATACATACCTCCAGACTCATCAAGTTGTATACATTAATTGTGTATAGTTTTCCACATGTCAACAACAATAGAGAGAGAGAGAGAGAGGCCCTTCCCAGAGCAGCTCTCCTTGCTCCTATGCCAACTGGGAAGCTTCAGTTCCAGCTCCTGTCTTCAGACTTTTCAAATGTTCATCAGATACCAAGTTCTGCACTTCTCAACTCTAGGGAAACCATGTCAAGTTCTTCAGATGTCTTCCTGAGGCTCTCCTTGCATGACTGGAGTTGTAGGGCAGGCACCCCATGTGCTGTGGTGGAGAAGGGAGTGAGGACTCACAGCTTTCTGACAGCTCCTTCTCTAACAAGTCCCTACTTTTTAATCTCTCCAAAGTCTTTTATTCCATCCACCTTTCCTAATACTGAACCTAGAAGGGCATAGGACAAGAGCAAGTCCTGGAAGTGTGCATCTATAGCATGTGGGAGTACTAGGGACTGCTGTGTTGTTCTTGACCTTTGAGGTCTCTGAGAAAACAGAAAGCATCTCACTTAATACTCTTTTATATAACTGTAGAACAAATTATTGTTACATCATATATGTGCACGTGTGTGGATGTATGGATATAAAACCACACTAACATCTTGCAGAACTCAGTTTGGAAAATCTGGGCTAAGGCATTTCTGATTAACTTGCATTAGACAGAAGTTACCCCAACTTCCTTCTGAGAACAACACTTGCTCAGAAAGTCTTAAGCTGAATGATCCAAAACACCTACAGTGTTTTGCTGAAATCAAACTTTGGGCTGCAAAGTTGGCATGTCTTTCCAGCAGAGGGTATTGGATTTGAATCGCTCAGCTCTATTTGGAACCAACAAAGCACAATTATACAACAGTTGTGCTGGGCTTCTAATGATGTCAGAGAATGGGGAACATGGAAAACACAATTGTCCCACTTAGAGAAATTAGCAAGGACCCCAATGTCATCATCACGAAACTAATCAGCTTACTCATCAGCTCCATATTCTGAAACTCAGCTAGTTTTTACGAAGCCTCTATGGGAATTAGAAAAGACCCTCCCCACTCTAGGCAGATAAATTAGAAAGAGATAGCCTCCTGGACAGGTGTACCTCCAGGCCACAACTGTGCTTGGTCTAGATTTTAACCACATTCAGCCACATGCCCTGGCTAGTTACAAACTGTGCCATTGTAAACAGTGGCCCCAAATATATTTTGTTTATTTTAAATAAACTTAATATTTTCACCATAGATGTGATAATGTTTATACAAATTATTTCTAAAATATGTAAAAAACAACTATTTTTGCCACCACCCAAAGGCATAAACGTTGTATTTCTTGAGCATATTTTAAGTGGTTGTGATCACACTGTATATGGCTTTGTATGCTTCTTAATATAACGATATGATACAAGCTCCTTTTTTGTTCTACAAATTCTTTGTCAATGCCATGTTAAGTAGGTTTTCCATAGATATCAAAAAGAAAGACATGAGCGAATCTTAGGGAACTCAGGGAAAAGCCAAAGACAGCTGAAAATGAATGAAAAACTCCAGGACCTATCTTTCTGGGAAAGATTAAAAGAGGGAAAACACATATACAGATGGAAGGTTTGAAACCTATATTTTGGCAGGTATTTTCTGAGTCAGAGTGCAAGTCTTGAAGGGACTTAGGATTGATCTTCAAGAAATCTGGAACTCACCGTGGTCCAGCACTCTCTCCATTTGAGGAAAGCTGGATCAAAAAGCACCTCACTGGACCAACTCATGCCAGCTTCTCAAAGCCAAGGATAGCATTTTATCCAAATATTTTGCTTTAATGTCAACTGAAAGTCAAACTTTAAAAATAGCAGGAGGCATTTTGCAAATCTAATTAGTCTCCTCTGAGATGCTCTGGGGTGCATTGAGTACCATCTACCTGCATTTGGTAGACTAGAAGTAGGGAGAGGTGGAGTAGAATAACCCACCGGTGAGCTGCAGCCAGTGGAGGGCCAGGCTTTTATGAAGCTCAGGGTGACAAACAGATAGCCACCCCATTCACTGACCTGCTTTATGGAGACCAGAGGTGATGTTCGGAGACAGCCTTTAGAAAGAGCTATTGCTTGGGACTGGGAGTGGTGGCTCATGCCTGTAATCCCAACACTTTGGGAGGCTGAGGTGGGTGGATTACTTGAAGCCAGGAGTTCCAGAACAGTCTTGGCAACATGGTGAAACCCCAACTCTACTAAAAATACAAGAAAAAAAGCCAGGTGTGGTGGCGCATTCCTGTAGTCCCAGCTACTCCAGAGGCTGTGGTGGGAGGACTGCTTGAACGCAGGAAGTGCAGGTTGCAGTGAGTCAGTATCTCTGCGCTCCAGCTTGGGTGACAGAGTGAGACTCTATCTTAAAAACAAAAAACAAAAAAGCTACTGCTTGCAGAAAGTTATATTTGGCATTCCTAATCTCTTTGCATCCTGAAAGCACCTCACCAGAAAAAGTTCTCATCCACATGTCTCTCCCCAACCCCTGCCCATCAAAATAAGTTCTATAGAGGGCTAGATTTGTCAGTTCTCCATGGGACGAAAACTCAGAGCTCTACATCCTAGGACGTGAGTTCTCTAAGTCATTAAATAAACTCTGGCCAATCATGTAAATCCTTTGGGATTCTGGCAGTGACTTGTTATATTTGAAAGTTTCTTAGATTTTCTTTATGAAAAAAAGAATGCTCAGGATAGATTTTATGTCACAACTCATAAATTCAACTCAACATGTGTTTATTGGACACCTTTTATGAAACACAAATTTTGTAATAAACTATATTAAATCATTCATGAGAATAACATGCATTGTGTATATTTCCTGAATGGAAATGGTAACCAAACTTGTTCACAAAAACTCCTAATGAATCACTTAACTGAATCAACTATACCCCTAACATGAAACAGATGATTCACACAAAAGGGATAGAGTTTAAGAAAAGGAGTATTTATAAATATGTTGGCAGGGTGAAGAGAAACCCGCTAGGGACAGTGAAGCACCCTAGAGCCAGCAACAATGGGAAGCTTTTACCTGTCCTCAGCCAAAAGATAGAAGAAGCTGTTGCTGGAACCAGTGAGACCCTTAGCTCTAGGAGGATGGGGCTTCCCAACTGGTGCTGGGATTTTCAAGGGAAGAAAGTAGCCATTGCCAAACTGTGACCAGAAGGGACACAGAGGGATAAACACTCAAGCTCTCTCCCTTTCCACTCTTCAGTCTTCTGCCAATGATTCTCATTGACTGAACCCAACAGGAGCCCAACTATCCTTAGAGGTTAGCTTTTGGTGGCACAGAAGAATGACAGAAAGGTCTGGGGAGTGGATCTGGGAAAGTAAATGATGAACACCCAGCGTAGCCCATTCACCGCCACCCCACTTTCTCCCTTTGCATTCACTCTTACGCTTTGGATGGAAAGCTCATGATCTTAACAGGTGGAACACATAAAATTTTAGTAGCTTTATATCATCACCTGATAATGTCAATTCAGTTTCACCTTAAACCTAAAATATTAACACCAGGAGTGCTCTGCTCTTTCATATAAGGCAGTTGGGGTGGGAGGAAGAAGACAAAACATAATTAATTCACCTAAAATTTAGCTGCTAGAGTTTTCATTGCTGTAAGTGGTCACAAGAAATTAATTGGTAATCATTGCTTCTTTTTTCCACACATATATTACATTTACTACCTGCAGAGTAGCTTCTGCATCATCTTGAGATGGGATGACTCAAACCCTCATTTCTTTAGGGTCTTAGTCATCAGCTATCCTTTTTTATTGAACTGCAACAGCTTTCCATTGACTAAGACTATTGGACAAGAAAGTACTAAGAGAGACCCAGAGAATTCCCATGGGTCCCAGATTGGTCTTAATTTAGTCCTTCTGTGTGACAGGGCACAATAAATATAAGCCTACTGCTTCAATTATTTCTTCATAAAATAAGTGCTTTGTGGTACTAAATTTTACCTTCTAAAATGACCCCCAATAATCTCTATCTCTTGGTATTGATACCCTTCTGTGACTCCCCTTCCCATGCTTATGTGTGTGAGCTGGTCTTAGTGACTTGAATCTAATGTACAGAATATGGCAAAAATGATGGCACTTTACTTTTGAGATGAGGTCATTAAGGGATTTGACATCTGTCTTCTCTCTATCTCTATCTCTGTCCCTTTGGCTATTCTGGAATTCTTGCCCTGATGAAGCATGGTAACATGTTGTTAGGGGCCCTGTGGAGAAGGCCATTTGGCAAGGAAGCCCAGTGAAGAACTGAGGTCCCCAGTCCAAGAGCCATCATGGAACTGAATTCTGCTAACAACCACATGAGTAAAATTAGATATGGATTCTTCCCCAGTCGAATCTTCAGATGAGACTGCAATCCCAACAGACACCTTGATTGCAGCCTTGTGAGAGACCTAAAATAGAGATTTAGTTAATAAATGCCTGTTATTTTAAACCACTAAGGCTCAGGATAATTTATCATACAGTAATAAGTAAATAATGTAAGAGACAATGTAATGTGATCTATCATGGTAATGGATAAGGCAACAAACTTTCTTATTGGTAATCAGGACCTGATCTTTACAGTGACAGCCATCTCTGCCTGTTGGATCAACAGCAAAAGGACCCTAAAATGGCAGGGGCAATTCCCAGCTTGAAATATAACAGAACCATGTCTGTAATTCCTGTTAAAAGTATTCTTCTCTTGGTCACAAGGACCTCCAAACCCATTAAGGTAAGGTTGTAGAAGAAGGCAGCAAAAGTTCCTTAAGTATACTTTAATTTCCATTTCATTAATCTTGGGCCTACGCATTCTGGCTTGAGGGAAGGCAGCACCACTTAGGGCCACTGATTTAAGGCATGTACTTTATCCTGTAAGTTCTAATCTCATATGGTGGTGTCTCCCAGCTGGCACCATAAGTGAATCTTCAACAGGGCATTCTATAAGTTTATCCAGCAAGCTTCTCCTCAGTGATGGGTCGCAATAGATGTGAACCCATTGGTATATTTCTTTTACCGTAAGTTCCTTGTTCAGAGGCATGAAGTATGAGACACCATGGCAATAGATAAAATATTTATAAATCCTTGACTGGTGGTGCCACCAGAAGTATTGCAAGCAGGGAAGACAAGTTTATTTTCAGAATATCTGTATATCTATATCTATCTACACACACAAACACACACACATATTACCTTGAAGACAAATTGATATCTCCTCCACAAGGAGAGAAGTCTAATGTAATCAACTTACATTAAGGTAGTTTGTTTGTTCCCCAAGAATAACTGCGTGCCATATAAAAATTTCAGCAGTAGCCTCTGTTGCTGGCAAATTGAGCACTCAGCAATGGCAGTAACAAAATAAGCCTTCTTGAGAGTAAGTTCTTGTTATTGAGCCCAAGCATTCAAAATGTAAAGATACACCCCTAATAGTCTGCCTTTCTCTTTGTTATAGGAAAGTGAAAGAAGCAGCTACTTGTATCTCACTCAGAGGGGAATTTTCTTTCCAGACTCATGAAAACTTTACCAATATGTCAGGCTCCTGACTTTTTAGATTTTCTGTCATCCTCTGGCATGCATGTGTCTCATAAACTATATAAGTTGCTTGATACTTGGCTCACTGAGTCCAATTAGCATTATATCTTTAATATAATGGATTAGAATGATGTTCTGTAGGACATCAAAATAATCAGTTTCCTTAAGACCAGGAGAGCTCACATCATCCTGTGATAAGACAATGGGTTCTTGTCCCGGACAAATGAAGGCAAAATGCTTACAGTTACCTTTATCAATGAAGGTTGGTAAATAATAAAGCATTTGCTAAATCAACCACTGTATATTGGATGCCGGAGACTGTGTTGATTTCTTCCAGTAAACATCCCTCATTTTGAACCATGCTGCAATTGGCATTACTACCTAATTATATTTGTGATAATCCACAGTCACTTTCCAAGGCTATCTGGATTTTGTACTGGACACAGAATCAAGTTAAACAGAGAATCACCATCCTTGAATCTTTCGAGTCTTTTATGGTGGCATTTATATCCACAGTATCTCTTTGGGATACAGTATTGCTTCTTTATTTGAAACAAGTGGTAGACAATTCCTTCCTATCAAAATACTCCTTACTTATTGGGTTGGAGAGTAATAGAGGGATTCTTCCAATTGCTAAGTATATCTATTCACAATTGTATTCTCAATTTTCTGCTGCTGAGTAACATTACC
Organism: Homo sapiens; assembly: GCF_000001405.40. Lineage (NCBI taxonomy): Eukaryota > Metazoa > Chordata > Mammalia > Primates > Hominidae > Homo > Homo sapiens. The sequence goes on from NC_000022.11 coordinate 34,736,143, forward strand.
ATAAATTTAGCAGCTTTAAACAACTTCTATTTGTTATCTTACAGTTCTGCAGATAAGAATTCCAGGCAGGCTGAACTGGACTATCTGCCTGGGGTCTCACAAGTTCAAAGTCAAGGTGTTAGCTGGGATGGGCTCTTATCTGGAGGCTCTGGGGAAGAATCCACTTCCAAGCTAATTCAGATTGTTGGCAGAATTCAGTGCTTTGTGGTTGGAGGACTGAGGTCTTCATTTCTTTGCTTCCAGCTGGAGACTTCTCTCTATTTTTAAAGACCCCCTGCATTCCTTCGCATGTGGTTACCTCCATCTTCAAAGCCAGCAATGGCACCTGGAATCCCTACTGTGCTTGAAATCTCTGACTCACTCTTTTGCCAGTAGCTGGAATAAAAACTTTCATCTTTTAAAGGGTTCATGTGATTAGATTAGGCCCATTCAGATGATATCTTTCTTACCACATAACATAAAATAATCATGAGAGGGACAGCTCATCATATTCACATGTTCCACACTCAAGGGAAAACACTGTACAAAGGCAAGGACAAGAGTCATTGGGTGCCATTATTAGACTTCTACCTACCATATCAATTACATTTATGGTGGGAAAATAACCACAGTATGGGTTCACAACCCTCTAGTCCCTGTAAGGTAGACTCAATTGATCACCTGACTTTCATAGGCCTCCACTCTGAATGACCAGACCATGTGGTATTATGAGGATTAGGAATTAGTTTATGTTTCTGAGAATTAAACATTAGGTCAGAGCCAGTATCTAACAACTTATGGGGAAGCCCAGATACTTCTTGTCCCCTAATTTGCAGACACCCTTGCAAATGGCAACATATCCCTCAGACTCAGAGGATGTTTTTGCCGAGAATTCAGCATGTAAGATTTTCAAGAGTCTTTTCTCAAATGGACCTAGCCTCCCCATTAATTGATGGACTCTGGATGAACGAACTCTCATGAGTCTGGCAACTGGGAATGAGGTTATAAATCTCTACTATGGCAACTTGAGACAGGCTTGCACCCAAGAGACCTAAAACTTTTCCGCTTATATGTCAAGCATCACCTTAGTAGGCTGCACATCTATTTTATTACCAGGGACTCATTAATCGTTAGCCATCAACATAGTTTGCTGTGGGTCAAAACACTCTGATTACCACTCTATCCCTGGGGCTTAATTCAGTAATTGCACCCACTTATCTCTGACAATTAATCTACGCCACTGGACCTCCACAGTGCCTGGATCCCATTATTCCCAGTGAAACCTGTGAACCTAATTTCACTGCAGCATCTCCCACCATGATCATGGGTGTACATAGTACAGTCATCACAGACTTTTTCAAGGAATCCTTCCTCTTTGCCAGGAAAGTTCTAGGATTCAAATATCCTTGACTATAGGGTGCTGTTGAGGCCAGGCTTTAATTATCCAATCTAGTAGATTGTTAATGCCATTCTTAGCTGCTATGGCAATATATTAAATCTCAAATCCTAGATGAATACCCTCATTGACAAATTTGTTCTGATTTAATCTTATATTTTGATCTTCTTGGCCTATTACTCTTAGAATCAACTCCCATACCTTTTTCCGAGATTCTGCTAATAAAAATTAGCAAGACACAGCAAATATAGCAGTTTATAGGTATGGTAAAGATGACTGCATATGCTTTGCTATTTGTATTAGTTTGCAAGGTCTGCCATAACTAGGAACCATAAATTGGATGGCTTAAACAACAGAAGTGTATTTTCTTACAGTTCTGAAGGCTAGAAGTCTGAGACTAAAGGATTGACAGGGTTAGTTTCTTATAAAATCCTCTCTTCTTGGCTTGGGCATCTTTTTGTGCCTCCACTTGATCTTCTCTCTGTGCATATCTGTGTCCTAATCTCTTCTCACAATAAAGACACATCATATTGGATTAGGGCCCACCCTCATAACCTCATTTAATTTTAATTACCCTCTTTAAAGACGATGTCTCCAAATACCATCACATTGTGGGGTACAGGAGGTTAGGACTTCAACCTATGAATTTGGGAAGAACACACTTCAGCCTGTAACACTATTCTCCCCATAATATAAGTGAAATTGATCATTCCCCCCTTGAATATCAGCTGACCCTGCAATCTGTTTTGAACAGTAACGTGGTAGAAATAATACTGTATAACTTTCAAGGCTGGGCTTTAAAAAATATACCTCTTCCTTCTTGACCTAGGACCACTCTCCCCTTCAGAACCACTTACTAGGTAAGGACAAATCTTGCCATTTGTCCTTTTCTCTGTGTCCTTTTCTCTCTAGTGCCACCAGAGGTGATGTGCCCACTACTGCTAAAGAGAGAAGTCAAGTGGAGGGAAGCCCAAAGTTATGTTTGATGTTCCAGCTCCATCTGCTCTCCAAGCTGAAGAGCTGCACAATTGAGCTCTAGCCAACCTGTAGAGTATATGGTGATTAGCTCAAGCCATTAAGTTTTAGGGTGGTTTGTAACTACCCTACACTGAACCAAAACAACAGGCTAACTACTCCTGGAGTAAGCTTTGTACTTCTCTGTCTGGCTGCACAGGACTCTGACTTTTGTCATGGGCCTGAAGGCAATGAGATAGTGGAGATAGGTCTTGAGGAGAATTTAGCAGTTGCTTAGGGTGAAGTTATTGGAAGGATTTTATGCATGGGAAGTCAACCCCTCAGCCAGAATATTCAGAGAGAGTTCTCAGCTACAGCTATGTCAGTCCAAAACCCCCATCCCATATGTCTCAGGGTCTCATTCTGTTCTATGGTGCTCTTGCTTAGCATAAGAAATATAGCTGCTGTTGGCTCTGCAACATCATATTTCTTACAATCTGGACAGAGCTTGATCCTCAGCAGCTATTACTAGACAAAAGAGATTCATTCAAAATGACTATAGGGGCTTTCTGATTTTACCCCTGCACCCCTTCAAGGACATTCAAATCTTGCCATTTGTCCTTTTCTCTGTGTATAATCTCTAGTGCCACCAGACATGATCTGCCCACATCACATCTCTAAAATCTTTATTGTTGCCATAGTGACTAAGTATCTCCGTCCTTTGATCTCTCCAAGTCTTGGCTTCCACCAGCACTCTCTCCCATGCTACCACTGGCAATAATTTAAGTAATTGATGCCAACACATGCTACGGATTACCAGTGTCTCGTTTCCCCCAGTGAGGAGGATATCAGAGAACTCATCAGATATGTAAGCAACCCAGCCCCTGAATCTTTTTTGACTGATGCTGGTGCAGTCCCTGTATCAGCTAGGGCCCTGACTAAGAGTTTAAAGAAGGAACTATTTACAAATGCATGGGCAGAGGTGAAGAGCAGCAACAAAGTAGGATGAAGCACCCAGGACCATCCCCAGCAGGAAGTGATAACCATTCCTAGGTTGAGAAAGGACCAGGGATGAGAAGAGTTAGCAGACCAGACCTGGCAAGAGTTGAAGCTCCAGGATAGATCTGATCCATTGGAGCTGTAACTTTCATGAAAGAAGTGCAAGCATTGCTAAGTGGAGGCCTGGTACAGAGGAATCCAGGGAAGTTAACACTCCATCCTCTCTCTCCTGCAATCCACCCATCTCCTGCCATTGTCTCCCACTGGCCAGAACTATTGGGAAGCCAGGAACAAGGAAGCCAAATGATGTTCCTAAAAGCCAGCCTCCTGGGGCTCAGAGCAGGTATAGAAGAGTGAAGCATATCTTGAGGACCCCACAGAAAATTTCTAGCACCATGACTCACATTCAAATCTTATTTTCTACCTGAATGTTCTCCACACCTCCTGAACTGATCATCACTTTATTCACGTTGAGGACCTGATTAGGACATTTGGTAAGACCCTTAGCGTTGCTAGTGTTGTTCTTATTAATTTCTTTTTCTTGATTTTTTTGTCCTTTTAAAATTTCTTTTCCAAGCTTACTATGTCTACCCTCCTGATCAGCCACTCTGATGTGTTTATCATCTATCCTTGAATTAACATATACCCTTGTAAACATGTAATTTTGTCTTGTAAGCATATATATCATGGTGGTTAACTTTATGTGTCAACTTGATTGGGCCACAAGGTACCCAGGTATACAGTCCAACATTATTCTGGGTGTACCCACAAGAGTGTTTCTGGATGAGATTAGCATTGGAATCTGCAGGCTGAGTAAAGCAGATTGCCTTCCATGATGTGGGTGGGCCTCATCCCATCTGAAAGGACAAAAAGACTGGAACTTCCTCGAGTAAAAGGGACCCCCTCCTGCCTGTGGCCTTCAAACTGAGACATCGAGGCTTTTTCATGTGTTTGAATTTGAGCTGAAGAATTTGCTCTTCCTGAATCTGGAGCCTGCTGGCATTCAGACTGGAACTACACCATCAACTCTCCTGGGTCTCACTACCGACAAATCTTAGGACTTGTCAGCTTCCATGATCATGTGAACCAATTCCTTATAATAAATTGTGTGTGTGTGTGTGTGTGTGTGTGTGTGCGCACGCACGTGCGCGTGCACGTATATCTCCCATTGGTTTTGTTTCTCTGTAGAACCCTGACTAATACTGGCATCATTAATTTGCCAGAATGGTACTGCACTGTAGAGCTTTCTCTGATTCTTGCCTTTGCAATGCAGCACTGTATTTATAAGTGCTTCTTATTCGTGTTGCTGTGTGTATAACTAGTTGGCTGCTTCTAACTACTGCTAACTACTATTCCATAGTTAATATACATTCCTTTTATTTAGCTATTCCCTTCATGGTGGCTTCCATCTCCCAGATAGCACAAACAATCCACTAATGAACATCCTTTTACCTCTGTCCTCATAGACAGGTGTGAGAACGACTCAGAGCTGTACGTTCGGGATTGTTTTCCTAAGTCAGAAGGACTCTTACTTTTGTATCTCCTGAACATGGGTTCTAGTTCTCTTTTAAAATGTTGCTCAATAAAACAGCTGCTTGGCTCTCTTCTTTGGTTCTTGCTTCATGTCTGTAGCCTCCTTCCCAGAAGAAAGAAGAGATCATTTTAGAATAGTTGAAACACACCTGAACCCCTGACACTTATAACCGCCATATATATGATTTGCATGTTAGAGATAAGGTAGCAAACTGGGAGATTTTGGGTGACATCCCCAACTCACTTGAGTGGTGTAGAGGTGTGCCCATTTATTATGTGCTCCATTCATACATGGGCGAGATCACACATGCATCAGTGTTGGTCTATTGGGAAGTTAAAGTGATTGATTTCTATCTAAAAGACAGATCATAAAACCTAGCACCGCTGTTGGGAAATGTTGGTGCAGAGTTGTAAAGGTTAGATTATTGGATTTGATAACAACACTAATGCTTGCTTGTAAATAAAATTTACCCATGCTGCTCTTCTTTGGAGTCCTCTCCTCATTTTTGTTATTAAACCGAGCATACCATTCCTGCTACCCTGAGTCTTCTCTATATCACCATGAAGGAGACTTGGGGATCTGATCCCAGGCCTGTCTGTCTGCAGAGTGTGCACTCTTAGCCCTTTGGGAAGTACAGCAAGCAAAGCTCAGCTCCAGTGCCCAGAACCCTTCCTGCCACCCTCCCCAGCTTCTTTTCAGAACCTCAAAGTTCTTCATTTTTTTTCTCCCTTAACGCTTTATAGCTCTCAGTAGGTATCAGGGATTCTTATAAAATCTCACATGTGGTAGAGCTTTCAAAGATTATCTTTTCAAAGCTCCCACCTGAAGCAGGAATGCTGCCCCTGGCACTTCAGCAGCTGGTTCCCTGCTTTGCCTGGAGAACATCTCACTTTCTCCATTGCCCTTCTGTGACACTCCTATCCTGGAGAAGTGCCAACTCTGCTCTGTCTGGAAATGGCTTTTTGTACTTCTTCTGCTTTGTGCAACCCAGCTACCCCAGGCCACACAGACTGGCACCACTCCTCCCAACTCCTAACAGCGATTTGAGCACTCCCAGACATCACTGCATCTTCCCCTTGTCAGATAACCCCATTCCCTTCCTTGTGTATCTTTCAAAAATAAATTTACATGGGGTACATCTCCATCTTTACTCTTATTCCTTCCTGTGGAATGAGGGACTCTGAACCCTAAAAGACACCTCAGGAACTTCTACAAGAGTTGTGGTTAGGGACTTAGAGAGCCTTTCTTTGTCCCTTAAAGAATACTAGGTCAGGTGCAGTGGCTCACGCCTGTAATCCCAGCACTTTGGAAGGCCGAGGTGGGCAGATCATGAGGTCAGGAGTTCGAGACCAGCCTGGCCAATATGGTGAAACTCCGTCTCTACTAAAAATAAAAAAATTAGCTGGTCGTGGTGGAATGTGCCTATACTCCCAGCTACTCGGGAGGCTGAGGCAGGAGAATTGCTCGAGCACAGGAGGCGGAGGTTGCAGAGAGCTGAGATTGTGCCTCTGCACTCCAGCCTGGGCAACAGAGCAAGAACCCATTTCAAAAAAATAAAATAAGGGAAAAAAGAATACTAAGTAAGCAATCTTATCTATCCTTCTCACCCTATGTGTGCTGTAAATTCCAGAGGGATGGTTACAGAATGACTATTAAATGGGAATCTCACATACACAAGCACACAAAGGAGGGCCTCTGGGGTTTGCCCTGGTCAGAGAGCTGAGATCCCTGCCAAGATGACATTAAAGAAAAATTTCTCCAATGCCAAGAAAGCCACCATGCAAAAGGGAGACACACAGAATTAAAATACGTGAGAGACTGAGGGGCAGAGGAGGATCCCAAGTACCATGGGATATTGGATGGCCAGACCACACCAAAAAGAATCACCTCTGCTGAAGACTTAGTTGCTTCATTATCTATAACCAGGTTAAATCAAGGAAGTTAACTGAAGTCCATGGGCCTGTGCTTTTAAAAAGAAATCTCAGCAGCTGCAGGTCACAGTTGCAAACATCCAGGGAGCCCAGCCTTTGCCCTCTCCTCCCTCCAACCAGCTACAGGAACCTGACATCATTTCTTAAAAGGATAGAATTTTATCTGCTTGAAAACTTCCATTTTGGGTCCTCTCAAAGCAAAGGGTTATTGTCTTGATGAAAAATTAATGGAGAGAATCATTTCTCGTGTGTGTGTGTGTGTGTGTGTGTGAGCGTGCATGCGTGTAGTGTTAGCATGTGCATAAATGACTGAATAACTTAACCTAAGGAGGGATGTGAATGGGTATAGAACAATGGCTAGAGAATGCCAAGCATTTGCCTTGGAAACAAGGAAGGCTGCACCTTATAGGGCCGATCTGGCTTTTCCAGATTGGTTATTCCAAGGCACCCTGAGGCCATGGTTGAGCTGTGCAAGTCTGATTTCATTTAAAATTGTATAGAAACAAGTGTATTTATAAAACGATAGTTAGTTCTGCAATTCCTTGAAAAAGAAATGCATATATGAATATGTACATATGTTTATAGTGTATCAAATCGTTCTGGAGGAAGGCTGAGGCTAGACATCATAGCAGAATTTTTAATTCACAATGTGAGTAGCAGAAAAGGCACCTCCTCCTCCCCCAAACCACCAGCTCATCACTACCAAGTCAGTCCAACCACCAGTACTATTCTGTGAGGGACCTTGTCAACTGTCTTAACATCTACTTTTTTGGGTCTGGCACCCTTTTGTGCCTACTCTAGACTGGAACTGGGGCCTCCAGATGATCTTTTCTAAAACTACCTACAGAATCTTCAATGTATTCAAAGGTTTTTTTGCTTCCCTTTTTTCTTTTTTTTTTTTTTTTTGAGACGGAGTTTTGCTCCTGTTGTCCAGGCTGGAGTCCAGTGACGCAATCTCGGCTCACTGCAACCTCTGCCTCCCGGGTTCAAGCGATTCTCCTGCCTCAGGCTCCCAAGAAGCTAGGATTAAAGGCACCCACCACCACACCCAGCTAATTTTCTGTATTTTTAGTAGAGATGGGGTTTCACCATGTTGGCCAGGCTGGTCTGATCCACCCGCCTTGGCCTCCCAAAGTGCAAGGATTACAGGTATGAACCACCACTTCTGGCCAATACATTCAAAGTTTAACAGATTTGATCTGCCTGCTGGTTGCTGCTCTCACATGCTTTCCACTTCTCCAGGATTCATAAGGATTCCTGATAGAGAGCAGACCGTGATCAGTGGTACCATTGCACCTGCCCCCCACCACCCCTCACTGACTTGCATGTTCAGAACCAGCACCCGCCTCACTGCTACACCTGCTAGGCTCATTCTCAGGAGACTTCAGAAAAAGCTCAGGCCCCCTGCTTTAACATGAAAACCTTTGAGAATGGCCTTTTCAGCTTCAAAGCCACCATGGTGGGCAAAGCTTCAAAGACAGAGCAGGGTTAGCTTTGAAGATCTAGTGTTTTCAAAGCAGTGGTCTTAACCTTCTTCTAGGTCATAGACCCCTCTGGAAACCTAATAAAAGCTATGGAGCCACATGCCGTGAAAATACAAAAGCTTGATGAGAAAGTTGTCTGCAAATGCAGAGGGCTTGTGGACACTGAACACCAGCGTAGACCATAGGATAAGAATTCCTACTATACTATCATAGCCAGATGTGCGCATCAGTATGTCTTTTGCAAGTCTTCTCTGAAGGACCCCAATGAGTCTTTCTGATCTCATTTGTCAATATTTTCACTTTTCTCTATTTCCCAGGTCTGCGTTCCATTCATCCATCCGTCTAGGTCTGATATTCAGTAAGTAGATTATGGTTTGGGTTGTATTTTTTCTTTTAGAAGCCAGCATCCATTCTGACTGGGAGGTGCCCATGTCCCATAGGGTTATTTTGAATAATACTGTCTCTGAATTCATCATTCATCCATGCATCTACAGATCCTGCTATCCAACCATTTAACCATTTATTCCCACTCAGTCAAAAAAAAAAAAAAAAGAAAGAAAAAAAAAACACCTTCCATACTCCAGGGACTGGAGAGACAGCAGGAAACAAGACCAAGATTTTCTGCCTTCATGTTATTGACAATTGAGTGAAAAGATGGACAAATAAAAGCAATTATAATGGAAAAACATAAATGTTCTAGAGACAATCAGGACACTTTGAAAATATATAAATGTTTTTAATTTTTTTTTAACTTTTAAGTTCATGGGTACATGTGCGGGTTTGTTATATAGGTAAACTTGTGTCATAAGGGTTTGTTGTACAGACGATTCCATCACCCAATTATTAAGGCTAGTACTCATTAGTTTTTTTCCTGAGCCTCTCCCTCTTCCCACCCTTCACCCTCCAATAGGCCTCAGTGTCTGTTGTTCCCCTCTTTGTATCCATGTGTTCTCATCATTTAGCTCCCACTTACGAGTGAGTATGTGTGGTATTTGGTTTTCTGTTCCTGCGTTAGTTTGCTAAGGATAATGGCCTCCAGCCGTATCCATGTTCCCGCAAAGGACATGATATTGTTTTTTTTATGGCTGCATAGTGTTCCATGATGTATATACTCCACATTTTCTTTAGCCAGTCTACCATTGATGAGCATTTAGGTTGATTCCATGTCTTTGCTATTGTGAATAGTGCTGCAATAATCATATATGTGCATATGTCTTTTTTTTATTATACTTTATGTTTTAGGGTACATGTGCACAACATGCAGGTTTGTTACATATGTATACTATGTATACATGTGCCATGTTGGTGTGCTGCACCCATTAACTCGTCATTTAGCATTACGTATATCTCCTAATGCCATCCCTCCCTCCTCCCCCCACCCCACAACAGGCCCCGGTGTGTGATGTTCCCCTTCCTGTGTCCATGTGTTCTCATTGTTCAATTCCCACCTATGAGTGAGAACATGCGGTGTTTGGTTTTTTGTCCTTGCGATAGTTTGCTGAGAATGATGATTTCCAGTTTCATCCATGTCCCTATAAAGGACATGAACTCATTTTTTATGGCTGCATAGTATTCCATGGTATATATGTGCCACATTTTCTTAATCCAGTCTGTCAGTGTTGGACATTTGGGTTGGTTCCAAGTCTTTGCTATTGTGAATAGTGCCACAATAAACATACATGTTCATGTGTCTTTATAGCAGCATGATTTATATTCCTTTGGGTATATACCTAGTAATGGTATCACTGGGTCAAATGGTATTTCTAGTTCTAGACCCCTGAGGAATTGACACACTTACTTCCACAATGGTTGAACTAGTTTACAGTCCCACCAACAGTGTAAAAGTGTTCCTGTTTCTCCACATCGTCTCTAGCACCTGTTGTTTCCTGACTATTTAATGATCGCCATTCTAACTGGTGTGAGATGGTATCTCATTGTGGTTTTGATTTGCATTTCTCTGATGGCCAATGTTGATGAGCATTTTTTCATGTGTCTTTTGGCTGCATAAATGTCTTCTTTTGAGAAGTGTCTGTTCATATCCTTTGCCCACTTGTTGATGGGGTTGTTTGCTTTTTCTTGTAAATTTGTTTGAGTTCTTTGTAGACTCTGGATATTAGCCCTTTGTCACATGAGTAGATTGCAAAAATTTTCTCCCATTCTGTAGGTTGTCTGTTCACTCTGATGGTAGTTTCTTTTGCTGTGCAGAAGCTCTTTAGTTTAATTAGATCCCATTTGTCAATTTTGGCTTTTGTTGCCATTGCTTTTGGTGTTTTAGACATGAAATCCTTGCCCATGCCTATATCCTGAATGGTATTGCCTAGGTTTTCTTCTAGGGTTTTTGTGGTTTTAGGTCTAACATTTAAGTCTTTAATCCACCTTTAATAATGTTTGTATAAGGTGTAAGGAAGGGATCCAGTTTCAGCTTTCTACATATGGCTAGCCAGTTTTCCCAGCACCATTTATTAAATAGGAAATCCTTTCCCCATTTCTTGTTTTTGTCAGGTTTGTCAAAGATCAGATAGTTGTATATATGTGGCACTATTTCTCAGGGCTCTGCTCTGTTCCATTGGTCTATATCTCTGTTTTGGTACCAGTACCTTGCTGTTTTGGTTACTGTAGCCTTGTAGTATAGTTTGAAGTCAGGTAGCGTGATGCCTCCAGCTTTGTTCTTTTGGCTTAGGATTGACTTGGTGATGCGGGCTCTTTTTTGGTTCCATATGAACTTTAGAGTAGTTTTTTCCAATTCTGTGAAGAAAGTCATTGGTAGCTTGATGGGGATGGCATTGAATCTATAAATTACCTTGGGCAGTATGGCCATTTTCACAATATTCATTATTCCTATCCATGAGCATGGAATGTTCTTCCATCTGTTTGTATCCTCTTTTATTTCATTGAGCAGTGGTTTGTGGTTCTCCTTGAAGAGGTCCTTCATATCCCTTGTAAGTTGGATTCCTAGGTATTTTATTCTCTTTGAAGCAATTGTGAATGGGAGTTCACTCATGATTTGGCTCTCTGTTTGTCTGTTATTGGTATATAAGAATGCTTGTGATTTTTGCACATTGATTTTGTATCCTGCGACTTTGCTAAAGTTGCTTATCAGCTTAAGGAGATTTTGGGCTGAGATGATGGGGTTTTCTAAATATACAATCATGTCATCTGCAAACAGGGACAATTTGACTTCCTCTTTTCCTAATTGAATACCCTCTATTTCCTTCTGCCTGATTACCCTGGCAAGAACTTCCAACACTATGTTGAATAGGAGTGGTGAGAGAGGGCATCCCTGTCTTGTGGCAGTTTTCAAAGGGAATGCTTCCAGTTTTTGCTCATTCAGTATGATATTGGCTGTGGGTTTGTCATAGATAGCTCTCATTATTTTGAGATACTTCCCATCAATACCTAATTTATTGAGAGTTTTTAGTATGAAGGGCTGTTGAATTTTGTCAAAGGCCTTTTCTGCATCTATTGAGATGATCATATGGTTTTTGTCATCCGTTCTTTTTATATGCTGGATTATGTTTATTGATTTGCATATGTTGAACCAGCCTTGCATCCCAGGGATGAAGCTCACTTGATCATGGTGTATAAGCTTTTGGATGTGCTGCTGGATTTGGTTTGCCAGTATTTTATTGAGGATTTTTGCATCGATGTTCATCAGGGATATTGGTTTAAAATTCTCTCTTTTTGTTGTGTCTCTGCCAGGCTTTGGTATCAGGATGATGCTGGCCTCATAAAATGCGGTGGGGAGGATCCCCTCTTTTTCTATTGATTGGAATAGTTTCAGAAGGAATGGTACCAGCTCCTCCTTGTACCTCTGGTAGAATTCGGCTGTGAATCCATCTGGTCCTGGACATTTTTTGGTTGGTAAGCTGTTAATTATTGCCTCAATTTCAGAGCCTGTTATTGGTCTATTCAGAGATTCAACTTCTTCCTGGTTTAGTCTTGGGAGGGTGTATGTGTCAAGGAATTTATCCATTTCTTGTAGATTTTCTAGTTTATTTGCGTAGAGGTGTTTATAGTATTCTCTGATGGTAGTTTGTATTTCTGTGGGATCGGTGCTGATATCCCCTTCATCGTTTTTTATTGTGTCTATTTGATTCTTCTCTCTTTTCTTCTTTGTTCATCTTGCTAGTGTTCTATCAATTTTGTTGATCCTTTCAAAAAACCAGCTCCTAGATTCATTGATTTTTTGAAGGGTTTTTTGTGTCTCTATCTCCTTCAGTTCTGCTCTGATCTTAGTTATTTCTTGCCTTCTGCTAGCTTTTGAATGTGTGGCTCTTGCTTCTCTAGTTCTTTTCATTGTGATGTTAGGGTGTCAATTTTAGATCTTTCCTGCTTTCTCTTGTGGGCATTTAGTGCTACAAATTTCCCTCTACACACTGCTTTGAATGTGTCCCAGAGATTCTGGTATGTTGTGTCTTTGTTCTCATTGGTTTCAAAGAACATCTTTATTTCTGCCTTCATTTTGTTATGTACCCAGTAGTCATTCAGGAGCAGGTTGTTCAGTTTCCATGTAGTCGAGTGGTTGTTTCTTAATCCTGAGTTCTAGTTTGATTGCACTGTGGTCTGAGAGACAGTTTGTTATAATTTCTGTTCTTTTACATTTGCTGAGGAGTGCTTTACTTCCAACTATGTGGTCAATTTTGGAGTAGGTGCGTTGTGGAGATGAGAAGAATGTATATTCTGTTGATTTTGGGTGGAGAGTTCTGTAGATGTCTATTAGGTCCACGTGGTGCAGAGCTGAGTTCAATTCCTGGATACCCTTGTTAACTTTCTGTCTCGTTGATCTGTCTAATGTTGACAGTGGGGTGTTAAAGTCTCCCATCATTATAGTGTGGGAGTCTAAGTCTCTTTGTAGGTCTCTAAGGACTTGCTTTATGAATCTGGGTGCTCCTGTATTGGGTGCATATATATTTAGGATAGTTAGCTCTTCTTGTTGAATTGATCCCTTTACCATTATGTAATGGTCTTTGTCTCTTCTGATCTTTGTTGGCTTAAAGTTGGTTTTATCAGAGACTAGGATTGCAACCCCTGCCTTTTTTTGTTTTCCATTTGCTTGGTAGATCTTCCTCCATCCCTTTATTTTGAGCCTATGTGTGTCTCTGCATGTGAGATGGGTTTCCTGAATACAGCACACTGATGGGTCTTGACTCTATCCAATTTGCCAGTCTGTGTCTTTTAATTGGAGCATTTAGCCCATTTACATTTAAGGTTAATATTGTTATGTGTGAATTTGATCCTGCCATTGTGATGTTAGCTGGTTATTTTGCTCGTTAGTTGATGCACTTTCTTCCTAGCATTGATGGTCTTTACAATTTGGTGTATTTTTGCAGTGGCTGGTACCGGTTGTTCCTTTCCATGTTTAGTGCTTCCTTCAGGAGTTCTTGTAGGGCAGGCCTGGTGATGACAAAGTCTCTCAGCATTTGCTTGTCTGTAAAGTATTTTATTTCTCCTTCACTTATGAAGCTTAGTTTGACTGGATATGAAATTCTGGATTGAAAATTCTTTTCTTTCAGAATGTTGAATATTGGCCCCCACTGTCTTCTGGCTTGTAGAGTTTCTGCCAAGATATCAGCTGTTAGTCTGATGGGCTTCCCTTTGTGGGTAACCCGACCTTTCTCTCTGGCTGCCCTTAACATTTTTTCCGTCATTTCAACTTTGGTGAATCTGACAATTATGTGTCTTGGAGTTGCTCTTCTCGAGGAGTATCTTTGTGGCTTTCTCTGTATTTCCTGAATTTGAATGTTGGCCTGCCTTGCTAGATTGGGGAAGTTCTCCTGGATAATATCCTGCTTATAATACAATAATTTCTATTTCTTTGGGTATATACTAAGTAGTGGGATTGCTGAGTCAAATGGTATTTCTTTTTTAGGTCTTTGATGAATTGTCACAGTGTTTTCCACAATGGTTGAACTAATTTACACTCCCATTAACAGTGTATAAGTGTTCAAAATAGAATTTTAACCAGTACTTGAAATCAGGCAATCAGGAATGCCTTCTGAAGAAAAATATGTATAGCTGAGAATAATGGATAACTGGGAGTTACCCAAATATAATGCAGACGGAAGAGTAGATGAAAGAATGTGCAACTGTCCAAAGTTTTGCGGTTCATCTTAAAGCTAATGAAGAGCAACTTCTGGCTCTTAAGCAGAACATTAACGATTTGACCTGAACCTCCCAAAGCTCACCCCAGTTCTCCAGAGGAGAGAATGAATAGAAGGAATCAAGACTAAAGACAAGAAACTAGTTAGAAGGCTGTTGTGGTGTTCCAGATGGTAAGCTAGACTTGGATAATGACAGCAGGGTTGGAGGAAAGTGGGTGCTTTGGTGAGCTATAGAGGGTATAAATGATGAGACTTGGTGATTGACTGATTTAGGGGTTAGAGCTGAGGGAGAAGGAATAGCCAAGAATACAATGCCTTAATTTCTGATTTGGGCAACTAGGTGGCTGGGTGCACAACATTAAGAAAAAATGAAAAGGAATCAGATTTGTTAGGGACACAGAAAGATAAGATAAATGCAGCTTTGGACATGTTGAGCTTGAGTTGCCTGCAAGACATTCAAGCAGAAGTGTCTAGAATTCTACGGGCTCTAATATGCAAGAAAGATCCAGCCTGGAAATACAGATTTGGGAGCCACCAGTGTACACATTGTTTTTAAAGCGTGGAGAAGAGTATGCAGAGCAGAGATTTTCAACCAGGGAAATGCCACAACCCCTTCAGGGTATATTTTGGAGATGTACACAAGCATTTTGTAGTTGTTACTGTGACTGGGGGCAATAGCTGGCTTCTACTGGGTGGGAGCCAGGGATACAGGTTGCCCTGCAATGTTGGAGATAGTCCCACACAAAGAATCCTTCTCTGTCCTGTGTTACTCTCTCACTGTTTATAAAGATCTGAGCTTAGATAGTCTAACTCCAAGTAAATACCTTTTTTAACATTGCTTTATTATACGTTGGGTTTTCTAGGAATGCAACTACAGGGTAAGGGGAAGGAAGACTTCTCTGTAAACCCAGTCCATATTCATGCCTTCAGACCAGACTTCTGTTCTGAAATCCTGACTTCCTGACTTCTGTGTGTTCAACATCTCCATGTGGAGGTCTAATGAGCAACTCAAACCTAAATTGTCCAAAACTGGACTGCTAATCTCTCCCCTCTAACTTCACCTCCACTCAGTCTTCCCCATCTCCATGGAGAGTGACTTTAAAGTCAAAACCTTTCAATTATACTCAACTCCTCTAATTTTTTTCTCACAACATCTGCCCATTTCATCAGGGAATCCTCATGGCTGTACGACCAAAATACCTCCAGGCTCTGACCTCATCTTCCCATCCCCATAGCATCATCTCTTCTGAGCCACAGCTATCTTTTTTTTTTTTTTTTTTTTTTTGAGGTGAAGTCTCACTCTGTCACCCAGGCTGGAGTGCAATGGCGGGGTCTTGGCTCACTGCAACCTCTGCCTCCTGGGTTCAAGCGATTCTCCTACCTCAGCCTCCCGAGTAGCTGGGATTACAGGCGCATGCCATCATACCCAGCTAATTTTTGTATTTTTAGTGCAGAGGGAATTTTGCCATGTTGGCCAGGCTGGTCTTGAACTCCTGACCTCAGGTCATCCACCCACCTCAGCCTTCCAGTGTTGGGATTACCGGTGTGAGCCACCATGCCCAGCCCATCTCTTGCTTGGTTTATTGCAATTGTACCTAACTGGCTTCCCCACTGTCATTCTCGGTCTCTTACAGTTTATGCTCAACTGCAGCCAGAGTGACACTATTAAAACCTAAGTTAGATTACATCACTCCTCAGATCTAAACCCTCCAATAGCTTCCCATGTCCCTCAGAGAAAGAGCCAGGTCCTCATGCTAACTTATAAGGCCGTTAATAAACCTCCCCTGGGCCCTGCTTACCTCTCTGACCTCATCTCCTTTGCTCTCCCCTTCACTTGCTCCTGCCAGCCACAGGGGCCTCCTTGCTCCTCTTTAATACAAACGTGCTGACCACACTCTTGCATTTCAGCCTTTCTACCAGCTATTTCCTCCACCTGAAACACTCCTCCTTCAATTATCCAAATAACTAACTCCCACATCTTCAAGCTGTGGCTCAGATCTCAGCTTCTCAATGAGTCCCACGCTGACCACCATTTCTTAACTTGCAGCTCCCTTCCAGGCAGCATTCCTATTCTTTCACTCTACTGCATTTTCTCCATAGATCTTCTCAGCTTCTAAACAGCACATTATTAACTTAGGATTTAAGTTTATTTTTTGCTGTCTGTCCACCCTACCAGTTGCTAGTTCCATGAGGGCAAGAATCTTTGTTTTATTTATTTCTGTTTTCCAAGTGTCTAGAATAAAGCCTAGCAAATAGTAAGTGCTCTATAAATATTTCCTGAATAAATGTATTAATGAACTATGGTAAGATTAGCTCTTATGCCGTCATGTTTTCTTCCCAAACTATTGATTCTGGCATAAATTCCATGAGAAAGACTTTCTTGTTGATATTCAAAGCTAAGCGTTCAGAATTTTTTTTAAAACTTACTTTATTTCTCAAAACAACAACAATAATGAAAGTCTTGTTTTTCAAGACTTCTGGCTCTTCTGGAAGTTCATATCCATTCAGGATCTCAGTTGTGTCCTTGGTTCTAGGCCACATTCGCAGTAGCAGTAGGAAAGCAAGTCTGGTTGTGCAAGGTGAGTCTGGGGTATCAGAAAAAGAACCCTCAACTGCTGTCTCCAAATACTCTTCTCTGCACATATTGGAGCAGCTCTGATCTTTGGGACATTCTTGGATGAAGCCACAGTCTTACTCTCTCTAACCTTTATCATTTGACCTTGGTACTTCTTTCTAAGATGAGCAAGGACAAGACTCTCCCTTCTTCTTTCAGGCCTAATTGAAGGCCTAATTTAACCCTTCAGTCTTTGCACTCCCACGCACTGTCCCATCTCTTAGTCTTCTCATTCAAACATCTACTGGTTGTTTATCTCTCCTCCTATGACACCAGTTAAATTAAGCACTTTCAACATCCTAGTAGAATCTTCTGCATGGACTCAGATTTGTCTCTATCCCTCTTACAGCGCAGGACCCATGATAGACACAATATTCTAGGTGTTATGTAACTGTGCATGGATGAGCCAGAACAGAACCAGTCCCTGAAGCTTTACTTACTTATTTGTGCAACCACTTCACATTTGTCCAGAGGGTTCAGTGTTATTCTAACAGAAACAGAAAGTAACTGCAGGGTTTTAAACAGGAGGATCAGAACTGAGTTTCCCTAAGCTCGCCCCAGAGGAGCGAATAGATCAGAAGAGTCAAGGCTGAAGGCCAAAAACCAATTAGGAGGCTGTTGTAGTGTTCTTGATGGTAGTTCGCTGGGAAACTCTGGTCCCTAAGTCCCATTGACACATGTTCTGTGAGGCTAGATTACCCCTGTCTTACACTTCTGAACTTGGATTTTGGTTTCTTTTTTCATGGGTTAGGAGACAAGGGCCCTTATTTTTTTAATCCGAAGCCTTTAGTCATTTATTTGGGTTAAGCCAAAATGTATCCTCCTTGTGCTCCTAAAACATGCTTCTAAAATTTTACTTGGCATTATTTTTCTGTGTATTCAGGTTTCTTATTACATTCCCTCCCACCCCTGCCCTAAAGCCTGGGGTTTCTTTGAAGAGAAACTCCGAGCCTTTTCTATTTTACATCCCCATAGCACAAAGCAAAGTGCCTTGTACACAGCTACCCTGATCGCATTTGTTGAATTAAGCTAAGGTGAATGGGTCTGAATTAAAAGCCGCTGTTAAAAATGCAAGTATGCTATCTGGGCTCCACATGACATTAAGGTACCCATTAAAACCTTGGCACAGAGTAATTTATTGAATCAGTTAATAACCACCCAGTAGGCAGTGAAGGGCTGAAACATGGGAAAATATAGCTTAGACTTGGGAGAGCCTTGAGGGAAAGGGCTGTGTGGTACAGAAATGAGACACAAGTCTACTGGCTGAGGAGCAGGCAGGTTGAGTCCTGCATCCAATAAAGGGGCATGGAGTTGAAGCCAGAATAAACTAGAGTTCAAATGCTGTTGCTTACTAGCTCTGTGACCTTGGGAAAGTTAATTAACCCCTCTGGACCATGACTCTGCCTAAAGAACCGCACAGTCAAATGCCAAATACTTGTACAGCTTGTCTTTGATTTCCTAAGGTTATACACATTGTGTTCAGTCTCATATATTTCCGGATGTGTTGTAGATTGGTGCCTGGCACATTACAGGCCCTCAATGTCTACCAGTTGGATGACTGAAAGTGACTGGGGCATCCGCCTGTCATGGGTACGAAAGCCAGCTTCACCATTCTCTACCAGCTTGCTCCAGGTAAGACTTCAGCTCACAGTGCCTCGCTTTTTAAATCTATGAAATGGGAAGTATAATGCTTTCCTCTCCTCTCAGTTTATCACAAAGATAAGCTTATCACAAACTTTAAAGTGCCTTAGTCCAGTTTCTGTTGCTTATAATGGAATACCTAAAATGGGGTAATTCATAAGAAAACGAATTTCTTTCTTATAGCCCTAAAGGCTGAAAGGTGTAAAGTTGAGGGGCCACATCCAGTGAGGGCCTCCTTGCTGGTGGGGACTCTTCTGAAGAGTCCCAAGGTGGCCCCAGGCATCACATGGTGAGGGGGCTGAGCATATGATCTCAAGTGTGTCTTCCCCTTCCATGATAACCCGTTAATCCATTAATGGATTAACTCACTTATGTGGGCAGAGCCCTCATGTTCCAATCACCTCTTAAAGGTCCCACTTCTCAATACTGCCACATTGGGGATTAAATTTCAACATGAATTTTGGAGGAGACAGATATTCAAACCATAGCAGAAAGTATGCAAAACACCTTGCACACAGTTGTTTATTAAGTATTGGTGCTTTCCATTTCCCATTGCTAACACACTTAATGCCATTTTCACACATTTTTTGGACAGAAGAGAAATTGCTTGGCAGTTGGATGTTCCTGAAATTTTCCCTTCCAGATGAATTTCTGATCACAAAAGACATGAATTACTTTAGGTGAACTTTCCCTCACTCTCTGTATGTGAACTTGGACTGCAGTTTTATGTGCTCAGGTGCCTTCACTTCCTTTCCCCAAAGAAAGAAAGAAGCAAAAATGTGCATATGTTCACTCACACCCCTCTGAGCAATGACAGTAAACAACCAACACACTGCAGGAGCCAAGAGGCTGGCCCTGTGTGCCTGTGTATTTCTAGCAGCCCTCACGTAAATGGGCACGTGGCCCCCATTGAAGCAGAAAGTTTACAACTCGCAGGTGCAAGAACAATTTTTCAATTAGGGATAATATGGTTCTTCATCACGTTTTTCTGGAGCCGTGTGGGAGGAAGGGTTCTAGCCAGGTGGAAACTCAGCACAACAGTTACAGTTTAGTAATCTGAGATGTGTTTTGCCAAAAAACAAAAAGCTTCTGATTGATTCCATAGCTTTGCAAGATATAAGTCTATGGTGGTGATTGGTGATTTACTCCTGCTGGAATGAATGAGTAGATTTAGTGGTAGCCTTTTAAAAATTCTTGCAAATGTATGAACTTATTCACTGGCCCTTTCTGTTTCATCAGGCTGAATTCTCGTTTTGGCTCAATTATCAGCCTCCACATCCCATTGATTTTCTCTTTTAATGTCTCTCCTATCCATCTTACCCCTTTTAAAGCAAGCCTGCGTTCCTGCTGGTCAGGATGAATAGATATGATAGTAGAGCTTCATTCTACCTTAAAGGAAGTAGTTGGGATGAATAGAGAGGAGGCAGAGGTATTCTAAGTTCTGGGGAAAAATGTGGGAACATGTCTGCTTAAAGAAAGGACAATTAAAAAAAATGAGTGTGTGGCACTGAGGACGTAAAGATGCAATGCAAGGTGAGGTTGAAAATGTAGATCAGAATTAAGTTGTTGAGAAACTTGATCACCTTATACATGTATTTTTGACTTTAATGTGAAACCCATGGGGAATTATTGAAGAATTTAGAGAAGAGAAAATGTTGTCATCAGTCTGGTGTCTGTACGAAAAGATAAGATAGATTGGAGCAAAGACTAGAAGGAGGGAGATTGGGTAGATGTACTCAGGTTTCGTAATTGGGAGGAAGAAAGAGAATATAATTCCACTCAACATGGTTTGAGCCCACCTGTGTAACAATCCAGAGGCATGGAAGGATTAAATGCCCTTGTCAATACCAGAGATTTGACGTTGAGAAACTGACACAAACACTAAAAACTGTAGAGAGCAGAGATGATAATTTTATTGAATTTTGCCCCCAAGACTCACAATGCAATACAGATTCATATTCAGTAAACACTTATTGGGAATCTACACTATCAGGAATGCTTTTTAACCACAAGTAATGGAATACACAAATAATAGTGGCTTAAAGACATTAGTTATATCACATGACAAAAAGGCTAGAGATCATTGTTTTTGTGTTAACTTGTTGCATTGCTATCATATAACTGCTTTCACTTCAAGCACTGTGCAGAGCCTCCCAGAGGACCTCCGTGTGTGCTCCTTTGGTTCTTCCTAGGTTCCATAGCCAGCCTTAGCTGCAAGGGAAGCTGGAGAGTGAGCATTTAGCATTTCTAGCCTATAGAGTAAAAGGAAGCCAGGGAGGAAAGAATTGGGAATAAAGGTTGGATCAGCCACCCAGCAGTGAATACCACACCTTCTAATCTGCCAAGCACTTTCACAACCAACATTGCTGCATAACATTCTTAGCCATGAAGTAAATATCATCTCCAAAATTATCAACACAGAAACATAGGCATGGAAGGATTAAGTGGCCTTCTCAGTATTGCATAGCTAGTAGCAGAGATTTGAAGTTGAGAGACTGACAAACACTCCTCAACTAACTGTATACTTCAGAAAAACTGTGCCCACATGAAGAAAGGTGAAGAGTTAGTCAAAGGACTATAAAAACCCAGAAAATAAATGTAACATTTGAGCTAGGCTTTGAGTGAGTTTTTACATGCAAAGAGTCAAGAAACAGCATTCATGGTACATGAAACAGAAGGAACTATGACCCAGAGTCACACAAACATTAGAGACACGTTGTTAGGGAAGGACAAGGAGTCCACCAGTTGGAGAAGCCAGGACATCTTCCAAGAAATGGACTGAAACCACAGCAGTAACTCTCACCCCAGGTATCTGTCTCGAGGCCACCCTCCCTCAGATGCAAACAGAGGCCACACTGGCCCCCAAATCCACTGCTCTGAGAAAGTGGAACTGGTGCCCACCAGGCTGAGGTCATGACTGAGGTCTTCACATACAAGCCATTTGTAGAGAATTTGTAAATATCCACCAAATAGTGATTTGCAGAATATAAATTTGCAGAATATAATAGGGTGTGTTGGAAGCACCAATAAATAAATATTGGGGCTGTAAAAAGTTTAGTCTGAGAAAAAGGGAAGCAGTTACTTTACTGCAGTGTAACTTTGGTAAAAGCAAAAGAAAAATCTGAAGAAACAAAATCCAATTTGGTGAATCTGACCACATAAGCAATATGAGAGTAAACCAGTCTAGGTTAACTCCCAAGCTTACCACTTCCTAGCTTTGTTACCCTGGGCACATGTGAACAAAAGTTCTCTAAAAAGGAATTTTGAGGAAAGAGACTTTATTCCAGAGAAGTGATTGCAAACTTGGAAGATGCAACCTTCAATGTAAAGGAAAGGTGCCATCCAGAGAACAAAGGGAGAGTTTTGCTTTTATAGAGAAAATTCACACCCAGGTTCCCAATCAGGTTCATTTATGCAAATGAAGCATTCAAACTTGCTTAGTTCTAATTGGTTGATATAGTTGATCCCTGATTGGCCAAGGCAGGTGAGCTCTGATTGGTTAGTTCCCAAATTAGACATTTGGGAGTTCTGAAGGTCCCAACCTTAAACCCGAGGAATGAGTTTTCTGGGAACTAAAAGATATGTGTGACCTCTAATTAGCAAATGACTGCTTGACTATTTTAAATTTAGGCTCAGTTAGGCTCTTGGGATTCATTTTGAAGAACTGGCTCTTTCAGGTTCACATTTGGAAATATTTCATATTTCTTCTCCAATCTGAGCCCCATGACCTATAGCAGCTTAGTATTATGCAAAGCCCACTGATTTTTTAATCAGATGGCCAAGCCCAGGCTGTCTGACAATAGCAAGTCACATGGACTTACTGAGCATTAATTTCCTCATCTGTACTTGAAAATCAAATCTGAGTGAAATTTACCTTGGTGTTCACAGATCCTAGCACCGGGAAAATGCCCAAGAAATGCAAGTTACCATTATTAGCAGTATTCCTAGTGTCACTCTGATTAATATAAACAATGAGAGCAATAATACCTACTTCACAGTGCTGTTGAATAGACTAATTACTAATGAATAAAATCATTTAACCAGCCTTGTAATGTGAAGTACATAAACAAATACTTGGTTCATTTGCTTCTTTCTCACCAGCTTTTTCTTGGCTGAAAACAAACTTTCCATTTAAAATCAAAATTTCAGTAATGATAACAAGATCTCTTCTCCATGGTTTTCTGTTGGCTGAGTCTGTGTGGTTCATTGATATACCCAGAGGTGATGTCAGCTCAGAATTCGAAAGGGCAGAATGATGGGTGGTCCCAGGTGGAAGTCTTGATAAGCTGATAAGATAGGAAGAGAATGAAGATAGATAGGAAATTAAAAATATTGGCAAGAGAGAGATCAAAGCGAAGGGTCGTGGGGGTTAGGCTTGAAAAGGAGAGAAAGGCAAGATGAGGTTGATGGATAGGAAGAAAGTGGAAGGTCAAAGATTAGAGGGCTCCGAGAAAAGAATGTGAATGAGAACGGAAATGACTGGAGGTTGTGGTTGGGAAGTGAGGTGTTAAAATTTTAAATTTCTGCTTCAGGAAACAGCAGGGCCATAATGGTGGATGGCTGACACTGGGTGAGGAAAGGATCCCCAGAGACTAGGAAGCAGAGGGTGTGAGAGATCAGCATGCTGATGACTTGTTGGGATCATGGAAGGACGTGGAGAAGGAGGTTCAAGGTGTTGAATGACGTGACAGCAGGCTGGCTGAGGATGCACATTCTGCAGAGATGTCTGCTTAAACCATAGCCCTCTGGGAACAGTGTCCCTTCTTCAGTACAGGCAATTTCCAATGAGTAGCTAGACTGTCACCTTCTCCCAGTTCTGTGTCCTGTTTTGGACTGATACTTGTCTTCCTTAACATGGATAGCTGTCACCATAATTAGGGTTGGAGGCTGTGGTTCCCAGTCAATCAGGATCCTGCCATTGACGATTTTGCTAGTGCTTTCCTAGGCTTGCAGCCTTTGCACCCACCTTAAATTCCTATCCACAAACCTGGTCAATATCCCCAAGAGGAAAATACTTTGTCCTACATACATTCCCCATGCCCAAATGTGCAGTCACCCTTACTCCTTTCATATCTGAACATTGCTTCCTGAAGGTTTCATGTGCAGAGACTCCTTCACACACAATCTAGAATAAAATGTAACCAATTTCCTCCTCCATGATAGATGTGATGTACTTAATACTCACTAATTGTTAAGGTATTTAATGGCTACAATCTATGATGAAGGTGGAGATGCTTTAAAGTAATTTATGGAATTTATGCCTGTTAATTAAATAAGCATTTCACATGTGCATTGGTGAGTCTTTATACATTTTTTAAAAAATGAACATATGAATTTGTGAGACATCAGATCTGTCTATTCTGCAGACAACTGTAGACCTCTAAACAATAAACCCATAGCCACGGAGAAGTGTCTGACCCACAGGTTGGGAACTGCAGGTTTAAGATGTTTGGTCTTCACAACTCTAGAGAGATTTTTTAAATGAGGAAACCGATACCCAGGCATAATAAGAAAAACAGATCAACCACAGTAGGGACTTAAGCATCAGGCAAGTGTGTATTCAAACCCGGTCCTCATACCTACATGGCTTGAGAATTCTTCCTTTTCTTCTACCTGCTGAACCCTGAGCTCCGCTGGTAAAGTGAAGCTAACCTCTGTTGCTTTACTTCTGACTTCTTCTGTGCCCATATGCTCTTCCGGTACAGGTCTGGCCTGGAGTATACAGGGGTGATTTGTCATTTTACAAAACAAATACAGTTCGGTTGAGAAGAGAGCCAAGTGAAAAATAATCCCAAGGCTAGAAAGCTACAGTGGAAGTTTGGAGCAAAAGAAAAAAACACAAACCAACCCCCCAAAAACATAAAAGCTCAGGATGATTTATTTCATAATTTAAAAATCAAAATTGCCTTCAGGCAGGAAGGCTTGTTTGCCCAGTTTTACCCTAGAGTGAGTCATAATAGCTAAGTTACATACCCTTGGAAAAACCAGGGTTTTTCCAGTGGGAGCACTGAGATGTCATTAAGCCCAGCACTGTGTGTGGCGGTGCCAGAATCAAATGTCCTTTGAAATTGAGACCAGCCAAGAGAAAGCCCCAGGGCCAGTGCTGCGTTTCTCCAGAACATGTCATGTCCCCGCCGTCTCATCTAGGAGGTGGCAGGGAAAGAATTGTGGGGAGCAAACAATCACTCTAGCTGCAGGGATAGGGCAGAGCTAGGTGGGCAGTGGGACATAGACAAAGGAAAATATTAATCACAAGGACTAGATTGAATTCCATCTGCAGTAAGGACATAGTCTGGACACAGCCACCAATAAGTCCAGACCTGTATCAGTTATCTAGTGCCCCAATATTTCAGCATAACAAATAACCCCCAAACTTCAGAGGCATGCAACAATAAGCGTTGATTTTCATTCACAAGTCTGTGAGCCAGGCTTCGGCTAATCTCAGCTGGCCTTGCTGTTGTATCTGTGGTCATCTAGTGCATCAGTTGGGGAACAGCTGGTCTGGAATGCTTTCACTCACATGTCTGGCATCTGCCTGGCTATCAATGAAGCAATGGAGGTATGTGGCTCATGTGTCCACCGTCACCCAGGAGACTAGCCTGGGCTTGTTCACGTGGTGGTGGCAAAGTTCCAAGAAAGAATGGAAGCACAAAAGGCTAAGTCACAACGCCAACCCAGATTCGAGAGATGAGAAAGTGGATTCTAACTCTTGACCAAAGGAGATGCAAAGTCCAATGGCCAAGGCCACAGATACAGAGAGAGGTGGAGAATTGGGGACCTTTTAACAATTTTCTACAAGAACAGTGCCGCTGGTGATGTTGCAGAAGAGAGCTTAGACTTCATCTATGAAGCCACAGAGCATGGTGTGGAAATCTGCAGTTAGAAGATGGATTTTGTCGGACAGTATAGGGACAAAATAGTCCAAGCTCTCCAACATAAAATGGACTGTCTTAGGAGATGATACTTTTACATGATTATAACTACTAATGTTGAATGTTTATTACAGGAGTCAATGTTCTGGGTGGCTCACAGGAATTAATCATGGCAGTAACACCATGAGCAGGGTCACTGTGAACTGTTATGCAGGCATGTTCTGCGGAAAGGGTCCACTTGGCTGAGAGGCATGCTTCTTGCCGAATCATGAGTGCAGGTGTGGAGCTGTGTCCACTTGGAGGAAGGAAGACCTTTTGCTAATGCATATCCAGGTGATGTATTAACTGGCAGCAGCCCAGCCTGCTTATGAGGTTGGTAATAGTGTATTCTGACTTTCATTTTAGAGTTAAACAACATGAGACCTAAGAGAGTTTAGGTAAATCACTCAGAAATATTCAGGTTTTGAGCAGAAGAGAGATTTGAACTCAGGCAGTCTGCCTTCAGCTCAGGCTTTTGACCATAAAACTATCCTGCCTGGCTTGATCCTTACAACAACCTACTAGAAAGGGAAGCCATTTCTGTTTCACAGATGGGAGATTTAAGGCTCCAAAAGTCAAGGAACTTGCTAAAAAATTAAGAGATTCAGGTATTGAATGGCAGTAGGATTTTTTCCCATACCTGTCTAATTCCAAAGCCTATTTGCTTTTAACTGTAAACTATCTCTTCTCCATCAGTAGTCTAAGAAGTTCTCTATCACTGAAAGCATGCAAGAAGAGGCTATATGTCACGATTGCTAGGAGAGATTAATGCATCAGCTGAGAACTGTAATTTAGTGTCCCTTTACCTTGAAAATTCTATAAATAGGACTGGCCACGAAAGCTTTCTGGGTTGCTCCATCCTTGCTCCGCTTGATTCCTCATGTTCAGAAGTAAGATCAAGACAAGAAGTTCCCTTCCATGGAAACAAATATCCAAAGCTGAGAAAGGCACGGAGATGTAGACAGGACATTTGCTTTACCTTTTATTACTTACCTGCTCTGGGCTAGGGCATTCAGGGGCCCTCAGAGTCTCACTGGGTTCCTATTAACTGCCTGTTGCGTACAATGGGCTTTGGAAAACACCCTTCCTTCTGGGAAATCTTCCCAAACCTGCAAAAACTATTTTGCTGACCTCCCAATGGAATTATATAGAAGATAATTTAAAATAAAATGTCTAACTCTGTGTGTCAGACTCACCAGTGTAGCCCTGGAAGGTTTATGAGGACAGAGGGGAAAGAGGCTGGGCTACAAAGACCAGAATATTCTGGAGGCATCGACACACCCTGGTTTCCTTTCCTGCCTCTATCACTCTCTGGTTCTGATTCCAACTCTCCTTAACTCTGATGTAGAGCCTGGGATTCCTTTGGAATCGAGTACTCATGCTCACCCACCCACACTAATGGGATGTGCTTCTTTAACCCTCCAGATTTCAAAGGCACTGTCACTACCAGAAAAATCCTGCCTCTGCCCCCAAAATTCTGTCCCAACACAACTTAGCAGTTGATGCGGTACAACGCAGGCTGGTCAACCAATGGCACCAATGGTACTGTTCATCCCAGAAGGACACTGAGTTTGAGACCCAGCTCTACAATTGATCGATTAGTAGCATGACCTTGGGCAAGTGGCCTGAAACTAAGCCTCAGTTTCCTCATCAGTAACAAAGAAAAATATTATCTCCTGGGGTTATATTAAGAATTCAATGACCAACATCAAAGACTACAGAATTTCAGTTAGACAGAAGAAATGCATTTTTGAGATCAATTGCACAGCATGATGACTGCAGTCCCCAGTCTGACCACCTCTCACCACCTCCACAGCTCCAAGCTAACCTAGTCACTGTCATCTTACCTGGAGTATATAATATAACAGCCTCTTCCCTGGTCTCTCTGCCCCAACCTGTGGAGGAATTTGAGAGTGAAGCTCTCCCCTTGTAAGGAAGAGCATGTCTATGTCTCTATACAGTTCCCCATTTCACCCAGAATCAAAGCCACAGCCTGGAAGTGGT
Source organism: Homo sapiens (assembly GCF_000001405.40). Taxonomy (NCBI): domain Eukaryota; kingdom Metazoa; phylum Chordata; class Mammalia; order Primates; family Hominidae; genus Homo; species Homo sapiens. The sequence continues at coordinate 34,763,691 of NC_000022.11, forward strand.
GCAGAGAGCCTCACAGGCTGTGCCCACCCCCATTTCCTCTTAATCTCCTCTCTTACTCTCTCCTTCACTCACTCTACTCTAGCCACAGGGAGCTCCTTGCTGCGTCTCAAAACACACCAGGCACACTCCATCCAAGCTCCTTTGTGAGAGCTTTCCCTCTGCTTCAATTTCCCCAGATATCACTGTGGTTCATTCTGCCCCCTTCACATTTTTCATCTTATGCCATCAGCTGCAAGGTGTCGTCCTACCACCCTATTCACAACTGCAACCCTCTCTCACTCTCAGCACTCCAATTTCTACAACCCTGTCCTTTTATTGATTTCCCATTTTCATTAGCATTTATCACATTCAAGCATATTATCTAACTTAATCTAATCTAACTTATTTATCATGTTTATTATTTATTGTCTCTCTCTCCGTTAGGATATAAGCTGCTACAGGGCAGGGCTTTTTGTCTATCCTGTTCCCTGATGGATCCCAAGTGCCTGATCCAGTGCCTTGCACAGAGTAAGCACACCACAAATATATGTTGAAGGAATCAACAGATTAATAGTAGCCATTAGTATGATCATGTTAAGAGCCTCTTAAGACCAAGAATCATGTCTTATTCCTGTCTATATGCCCAACCCTTACTATAGGGCCTGGCCCTGCTGAGATGCTCAGCAAAGGTTTACTGAATGAATGAAACCAAGAAGCCTCCCTTCCTGGAGACAGGGAGAGGCTGAGCACTAAGCTCATATTGGCTTGCCTGAAGGACAACCCTGCATGTCACATCCAGAGAGCAAAATTGTCTCTGACATGTAATTTAAAACCTGAGATGCCTGGATATAAAGTCTTACTCAAGTAAATGGGATCAAACATCAGGGCATTTCCACTCTACCAAATAGATATTCTGGATTTAATATGATCTCTCCTTCCTTCTCAGGTCTCTCAGGCTGCCCTCACCCCTGGGGGAAGTGGGGGATGAATTTGGCAGAGCTGGCCTCAGGAGGTGGATGGCCTTGCTTCAGGTAATCCCAAGTCCCATCTGAGTCTCAATTTTCTGATCAGTGAGAGGCCATCACCTCCTTAATTTCCATTCTGAGCCTCCTCCATCTATCCCAGACCTGGAAGAACCTACAACCTTCTTATGACACTCTCAATTCTGCAGAATGTGGATTTCATCTTAGGTCACATGGCTCCCAGAATCCTCAGATCAGTTTATCACAGTTAATTGTGTCCATGGAGAAGTGGGAAGAATAATGGCTTCAGTTTTAATCCCCAATCCTCTAATTACTCACTGTGTGACCTTAGCAAGTTTTTTAACCTCTGCAAGACTCAGTTTTCCCATCTGTAAAATGTGCATAATAAAACTTGCCATTTATTTTTGTTGTGGAATCTATATGAAATATAAATGCTCTTTCCCTACCAGAACCTGACTTCTCTAGGACAGAGATTTGTCATTCTTTCACTCATTCATTCACTGAGCACTATGTTTATTGAGACTCATACAAGGTCTCAAAAGGATAATTATTAAGGTACAGTCCCTGCTGTACAAGAGCCTAGAGACCTGTGTAATAAATCATTACTAGCTAGTGTGATAAATATTAAAATGAAACTATGAGCACACACCATGAGAACTCAGAGGAGGGAGTAATTATACTTAGGAGGAATGAGGAAGGCATCAGACAGAATATGATGTGTAAACAATTTTGAATAGCAGTTTTCCAGGCAGACAAGGGGGTCAGGAGGAAGGATATTCAAGGCAGAGAGAACTGTGTGAATGAAGCCACGGCGCACTATGTTACTCACCATTGAAATTGTGACTCTCCAGCCTCCACCTTAAAATGCAACACCTGGAGGTTCTAAGTAAATATATGTTCAATAGACAAATCTTTACTAAGGACATCACATAGTCATCATGGACTGTTCCTGGCATTTACAAAGCCCAGTTTTCATTCACACCCAACTTGTTAGTAGTGGGGCCGGGGAGGGGGGTGGGGAAGTGCACTCAAATTTTCTCATCACTGATTTCTTACATTTATGAAATCACTGATAAGACTTAGGAGGATAGTGAGTGGATACTGAGAGACTGCATTTACAGAGGAAATGGGCTCTCTGCCCTCTTTTCTAATTAGCTTCACTGGGAAGATATTGTTATTTTCTTTATCCACACACTTGGCCTCAAAACTCTTCCAGTTTAATGCTAACTTTACTGATAAGCCTAACCTGGAAAAGTATATCTTATTACTCAAAGGCAAATGATGAACAGAAGTGTGATCTAGCTTCTGAGGGAAGGAGATGGGAAGTGACATGTCCTGAGCATTTATACATCACAAAGACCTCCAACATAAATTCTCAGAGCCCCATTTTATAGAGGGAGAAATTGAGGTTTGGAGGATTAATGTTTCTTGCTAGTAAGTGGCAGAGCTGGGACTCCAAGTTGGGATGTAAAAAGAGCAGGTCTATTTTTCTTGTGTTTATGGACTGAATGTTTGTGGTCCCAAAAATTTATGTTGAAGCCGTAACTTCACTGTGAGGCTTCTAAGAGGTGTGGCCTTTGGGAATAGGGTCAAATGAGGCCATAAGCGTGGAAGCCCTATGATTGATAGGATTAGTGCCTAAGAAGAGGAAAAGGCTAGAGCTGTGTCTTTCTCCACCACAAGAGGACACAGCAAGAAGGTGCCCATCTGCAAGCTAGGAAGAGAGCCCTCACCAGGAACCAAATGGGCTTCCCAGTCTCTAGAACTGGGAGAAATAAATGGCTGTTGTTGAAGCCACACAGTTTATGGGTATTTTCTTACAGCAGCTTCAGCCAACTGACACTTGTCCTCGCAGAACATATATGCCTGCAGCCCCTGACCAAAAGCACCTATCTCACCCTGTTCCTATACCAATCGCTCTTCAATTTTCCTGGAAATAATAGAATATTGGGTCTTTTTATCTATTTCTTGTGCTTTCTCAGTCTTGGTAACTGAGCTACTGAATCTTCTTGACTCCCAAGTAGTTCCAGGGAAGGTGACAAGTCTATAAAACGTCTGTGCATGTCAGAAATAAAGACATCACCCTCTACTCTACTAGGAAGCCAAGAAATGACCTGGCCAGGGATGAGAATCATCAGGGTCAGATCTGAACAGGCAGTGGTCACAGGAGTTACCAGGGCATACCTAACCAGAAACACCAAGGACACCTAAAAGCAAAGCTGAAAATGTATGGAGAAAGTAGCCATGCAAAACAACCTTCTGGCCATCCTTGTGTCTGTGTGTATGTGTATGTGTGTGTGTGTGTGTGTGTGTGTGTGTGTGTGTGAAAGCTAGGAGATGGGAAATGGGAGATGGAGAGAAAGAGTAACATACAGTGGGATGAAATAGATTATAGAGATAAACTTGAAGAGGGAGAGTATACAGGAAATTAGTGTTTCCAAGAGAAACCTCAAAGGGTTCTTTCTTCTGTGGACACTTTTAATACCCTCATATGCCACATCCATTTATTCCATTCAGACTCTCTAAAGTATCTTTAGTTTTGATTAACTGAACTGTTTCCTTTACTACCTATCAGGAAATTATTCAAACCTAAGTTAGAGACTTAAAGGTGTTCTATTGTATAAGGCATGATTTTTTTAATAACCCATCACTAAATACAATAATAGTCTAAGAAACACAGTTTGCAAGGTCAAGTAAGTCATCTCTGGTATTAAAAATGTTCTTTTTATGCACATAAACTAAATACTAGGTTGATGATAAATGATGTGGTATGTGGCTTGCCAGTGTTGGGGTTGGCGAATCACAAATTAAAGCTTATTTATTATTTTCTAGAGGCTCTCTGTCAAAACTCTTTCTACTGCTCAATCATCTTCCTGGGAAAAAATATCAGATGGCAGGATCGAGAGGGAGCAGTGTTGCCTGGACAGTGTGGGAAGTAAATGGCACAGTATGGGATTAAAGAAGGATATTTGGTAAGTCCTGAACTTGTGTCCCACAATCAGTTTTCCTCAGACAGGACAATAAGACACTGCAGGCCTCAGAAGGATCAAAGTAAATCAGCCATGCCTAGCATATACTGAAACCATATCTGCAAGTTCTGAAGATCATGGAACACACAGAATGTTTGTTGAATTCATATCAAGATGAATGAAAATAAGCGTGGAAAAGAAACTAAGAAGTGATTATTCTGTTGTTTTCCAAGCTGGGCAAACCACATGTGTAGCAAGGCTGGCATTTGTCCTGAATCACTATGTTTCCAGGACCACAGACACCCAGGAGTATAGTCAGAAGTAGGTACGTGGATCTCAAAACAATGTTATAAGAAAGCTTGAAGGAATGGAGAACATTTAGCCCAGGAGAGCATCCATGGGACATGACTATTATTTTCAGAAAATGGAAGGCTCTTGATGTAGGGCAGGGAATCACAATTGTTTTGTATGGCCTCAAGGAGCACTGGAGCCATGCATGTGAATTGCATTTTAGCTTAGAATTTAAACTTCGGAAAACATTCTAATAATAGAGCTTTTAAATATAGAATAGGCAGACTCAGTAGGAAGTCAGCCATCTACAAGTAAAGGTCTTCAGCATGTGCTCTATCAGGTGACAGATTCAAAAGTTAGTCTGGATTACCTTTAAAGGAAAAAATTATTTGATTCTATGAAAGGGGGGAGAAAAGTCACTATATTAGTTGGAGTAAGGGCTCCATAACAGAGACTCAACAATTCAATCACATAAAGGGCCAGGAAATTGATGACTCTCTCCCAGAACACTGCAAGGCAGGTAGGCAGCCTCTGCTTCATAAAACCATCATGGGAACCAGGCTGGGGTGGGAGAACCTCAATGTGAGGCTTCTGAGGCAAACCCGGTTGTCAACCATATCCAGTCAGTGGGAGGAAACAGGCGAAGTCCAGGACTGGATACTGCTTATTAACCATGGAATACAGAAGTTGCACGCATTACTTCTACTCCTGTTCCATTGGTGTATCTGGTCTCCTGACTACATTTCACTGCAAGGGATGCTGGGAAGTGTACTCTGAGCCAAGCAGCCAGGAAGAAAAAAAATGAATTGAGAATCCCATGGCAGACTTGTGATGGACATCCCAATTATCCTGATTTGATCATTACACGTTGCATGTAGGTATCCGAATATCACATATACCCCAAAAATATGTACAACTATTATATATAAATAAAAAAAATTTTAAACAGCACACTTGGCTACAGTCATCTATCAAACTATCTGTCAATTGTTTATACATCTATTACTATATTAATAATAAACACCAATGTGTTATATTAATATTAATAAATTACTACAGTTAAAAACACTGCTTTAAAGCCATTCTGCCTGGTTATGACACCTAACTCCACCATTTAGTAACTGACCATGAGCAAGTTAACCTCTGTATGCTTCCATTTCTGTATCTGTTACATGGTGATAACAAAGATACTTATCTAAAAATATTTTTATGACGTTCAAATGAAGTAATGCAACTAATGTGCTTAGAACAGTGCCTGAAATATAAAAGGAGCTCAGTAAGTATTATGATTTATTAATTACTATGTGAATATAGAAAGAAAGAAGTACTTTCTTCAGGGTATACCTGCAGATACAGAACTCCCATTGACCTACGTGATCAGAAGGTGAGGTATTTTCATGGTAAGTAACTGAAAGGGATGATTTAGGCCTTTTTCACCCTCAAAGTGGCCCCACTCACATCCTCTGGTCCTAATTTACCAGCTAAACAGAGACACTTGCTTTATCACATTTCTCTTCCATCCACCTTCCCAAGTGCTTTGGAAGAAAGGCAGACTAGAAAAACTGCAATGTGCCATCCCTGGCTGTTCTATAATGTAATTAGAATCTAAGCAAATGAATGCACCCCATTTGCTGGATGGGCTCCAAACAGCCCTTGGAAGAAGGATAAACACATCATCACAAGAACAAACACTGAACCACAAATAAATAAAAATATCACCCCTGCCTCGGTGCCAGCTTGCATTAGCAAATGGGTAATCGGGGTTTTCAAATGGAAATATACTTTTGCCATCTCATTTGGATTGTCATGATAAATTCTACATGACACCCGAGGCTGCTTTACAAGAGACCTGAGAAGGCCTCCTCTTATTAATGGGGCTTATGATCCCCTCTGAGAGGTTAAGTTTGCTTGAAAATTCAACCCATTAAATTAGCAAGAACCCTGGATGCCTGGGTTGGTATAGGGCCTATGGGGAGTTGTAGAGTTGGCCATATGGGAAGATTCATGCTGCTGGGAGCTCGGATACCTTTGGCAGGGGAGAGGGTTAAGACTGAGAACTAACAATGAGGGAGGCAAGATCTAATTATTTTGAGCACCTCCCTGTGCTAAGCACTTTAAATGGAACTGCATTTAATCCTCACAACAACCCCACAAAGACAGTATTTTAACTCCAATTTTATGGATAAGTACACTGAGGTTCAGCAAGTTTAAGTGATTTGCCCAAGCACATAGCTAGACAGGAGGTAGAACCAAAAATC